>NC_000009.12:98826612-98978127 GCF_000001405.40 Homo sapiens | reverse complement strand
TCAGGGAGACTTCCATGGCCAGGAGGCACAGCCAGGAAGCAACAGATGGGGCAGCCAAGCAAGGGTGGACAGAGTCTTGGTACCACGAGTCCCAGAGCTGGTGCCCTCCCACAGCCCCGACCACTCCAGGTCCTGGCCAATGGTTGGTCAGCTGGAGAGGGGGCAAAGGAGGCAGCCTGCAGTGGAGAACATCCTCTTCCTTGGACACAGCTGGGATGAGACCCCTCCTTTGCCCTTTACCAAACACAAAGCCTTTGGGCGATGACTTCCTGGTGATCAGGGGAGGTCCCTGCCCACTTCCCATGTGGGGATTCAATGAGACGACAGATGGGAAATGCAAGGTATAAGCTTAACAAAAACCAAAGTCTGCAAAAAAGATCCCTTCCTAACCCTCCCACCCTCCATCCCCCTAGACCTCAGCCATTCAAGACAGGACACATGGATAGGCGCTGGCCCGCAGGCCTTGTTTCCACAGAGTCCGCCAAGAGGGAGGCCAGCCATGAATGTAGAGCAAGCCCAAGTCAGCCCCAGCAGCCCAGCTCTGCTCTCAGCAACCCCCACCACATCCTTCCACATCCACTGTCCCATGGCATGGCGTGGTAGGGGACGACCCCTGACCTGGAGTGACCCATGCTCACTCGCGGCTGCGCCTGGGCCTGCTGGCTCATTTCCCTTTGGCCTCCAGCAGGAGGGCCACCTGTTTAGGCAGCCACCAGGGAGGGGAGGAGAAGCCAGGGAGCCAAGACAAACAGGCCCAGCAACTGGGTCCATGGGCTTGACCTTGGATGGCTCTGTGCTGGGCAAGAAGGGAGGAGGGTGGAGATCACAGCTGGTGGGAAGACATCCCACCATTTTGGAGGGGACTGGGGACTGGCGTGGAGCATGCTGATGGAACTCTGCAGCCTGAGGATTCTTGGAAGCGGCCCACACTTATCCCCAGATAATAATACTTCTCTCAGAGGACAGTTGTGTGACTTAAATAAAATAATATACCTAAAATGTTTAGCACACTGCTTAGCACACAGAGTGCTTAATAAATGGTAGCTGCCATTTCTTTCCCTATTATTATTACCCTGCTATTTCCCATGCAATTGTCATACTGGAAAACTCAAGGTATCCTGAATGGGTCCTACATTTTACACCCTTGAGCCTTTGTGTATGCTGTTCCCTCCACTTGAGGAACTGCTCCACACATCTCAGGGCCCAACTTCAATGTCATCACCTCCTCCATGAAGTCTTCTTGGATTCCCCCACCAGGTAGTCTGGGCATTCCCGCTCCTGCACTTGGCCCTGACTCTATGTAGCATATATGGCATTATATGACTAAGGTGTTGGACCCTACCATCTTGGAACCTCCTTAAGTGTAGGAACTGGCGTCCACTTCTCCCTGTCTCCCCCACACCCAGGCTCTGTCCCTGAGCAGGTCCTCAGGAAGTGTTTGCTGGCTGAACTAAATCCTAGGCATTCCTGAATTGAAGGTGCCAGGCTCACAGTCTGAGGCCCTGGTGAGAGTCACTGAGGTCGGGCTCCAGTCTGACATCCAACAGTGACCTCACTGCATGCCCATCCATCACCTGAAAGTCCACGTTCCCTCCCATCTCCACGATGCTGGATCCACTGGCCCAGAGAGCCCATCTGGGAGGCATGAATCCATGGGGCAATGAGAGACCCAGGGAGGGGAGGAAGGACTCAGGTTCAAGACTCTGTCTGTGACCTTGGGCCAGCTAGTCCCCCTCCCTGATCTCAGTTTTCCCATCAGAGAGTTAGACCAGATAGACTCTCAGAGCCACATCCACTGTGATTTATTCTATGTATTTTCACTGCCTTCAAACACTTCCTGGGGCTGCATCTGACCGGTCTTATTCTCTCACTTCATTAATGCTTAGAGATAGCTTCATTTCCAATGGGGGTTTTCAACTTACTTTTCCAATTCATGAATTTGATCATATTTCTAAAGCTCCCACATTGTGCCTTGTGTAGTGCTGGAGACATGGAGCTAAGCCTGGAACATGTGTGCTCAAGCAGCTCACTATCTAGGTGACCATTAGTAGTCATCTGCTCCTATTACAAGCTCCAAAGCCTTCAATGGCTCCCCAGTGCCTTCAGCATAAAAGCAAAATTCTACTCGAGACACCCTCTGCTTCATCTCCTCATTCTCCCCCCGTGTCTTTGCCTTCACTCATGCTATTCCTTCTAGTGACATCACTCTTCCCCATCTTCTTACATCTAAATCTTTCCAGTCAGGCTCAGCTGCACCCCAACACACGGGGGCCCCACTCTCACTCTGCAAAAAGGGCCAAAGTCATCCCCCCTCCTCTAAACATCCACAGAGCCAAGGGGATGCTGTGAAGGAACGGACACAGGGAGAGACAACCTGAGCCTCCCTCCCTCAAATCTAGTTCAGACTCCTAAGTGCAGTTTTGGGGTGGCCCCTCCTCAGGGCGCAGAGAGGAGAAATCAGACGGTTTCAGAGACAGAGGAGGCAGAGGAAAATCTGAGCAGTCAGGGCAGGGTGCGACTTTCCTCCCAAGGGTCCAAAGCCAGTTTCCATGGAAACCAGGCAGAATCCCAGCCATGAAGAAACAAACAGAGCAGGGTTCAGGTTTTCCTTCCACACAGATGACAGCGATTTGGCCAGAGATGAAGAACAGGAGCGAACTCTCACCTCTCCTCCTCCTCTCTGCCACAGGCTCAGGGACATCATCTGGCACCTCCCCTACCCCGCTGGGCCTCGGTTTCCCCTTCCGTGCGATGGGCTGGATCAGTCCTTCCATCTGTGGGGTCCTGAAGCAGTGCCCGGGACTAGCCTGAGCTTTGGAGCCTTGCCTCCCTAGAGAACTGTAGCTGGCTTTGCAAAGCTCCCTCTCACAGACGATCATCTGGGACCTGAGCCCAGCGCTAGCGCTAGTTAGCATTTAAAGCCAGAGGAGGCTAAGGAGCGTTCCTCGCTCCAGGTGAAGGAGCGCTGCGGATATGTCCGGACGGAGGCGCGAGGGAGGCTGAGGACGCCCCGGGACCGTGCGCGGCAGCGGCTCCTGGCGGTCTCTACGGGAACTGCGCTTCCACCAACTGCAAGGAAGGCTTTCCACCTGCGCTGTGAACCGGGATCCCAACAACAGACTCAAAGCGAAAGGTCTGTTAAGGGACCCAAGAGAGCAGGTCTGAGGCCATGCAGTGAGTTTGGCCAAGCCAGGCCTAGAACCCATAACGCCTCCTTTCCCTCCTCTGCTGTTTCTCTGCACCGAGTGCTGGGAAAGGCTGAAGGTGCCCCTCCTGGGTTTCTACCATTCCCACACACGCCTCTAAAGACCGACGGCACACTTCAGTCAGCTTAAACGGGGCCACGGTGACTCCTGCAAGCGGGTGGGTGTATTCCCACTGGGGGGCCGGGGCTGAGGGGGTCCAGATGACCCTATACTGCCTGTGGCCTGGGGCTGGACCAGTAGGATGAGGGTATGTAGGGTAAGGTGGGGGGACTGCCCTTGGGACCCCAGAAGGGCTCCTCTCACCTGAGTTTCTTGGCACTCAGTCCCTGGGGAGAAGAGGAGGTGCTCAGTCCCCCTCCTCTGCGCCTGCAGCATGGGGGGCAGACCGTCGGAGAAGCCACGTGTCCCTCCTCCTTGCCCTTTGTCAGCTTGTCCTGCCAGCAAGTTGGGAGGGTGGGGTTCTTGCATCTTCTGGGACGGTTCTTTCCCTTCCCTTTGGACACCCCTACAGAGAGGTGGCCCCCAAGGACCCTGGGTATGTCTAAATCACATCTGGCATGTGACTTCCCTTTCTCCCACCTCCCTGGAGGGACAGGAGTTCAGCAACCGCAGACTGTGTGGGACAGTGCAGCTCACCACCTGGGGAGGAGCTTCCTACAATGCTCACCCATCCAAAGCCACCTGGCTTCCACCTGCTCATCTCCACTCACGGCCACCTGACCATTGCTGCACAATTCGAAGTCTTCGGAAGTCCTTTCTCATGTTGAACTGAGGCAACCGCCCCTGCAACTCCCACCCACCTGGCTGGGCCTAGCTCTCTACCCCTCTGAGACCACACACAAGTCGGCCTCAACTTCTACATCCTGACCTCTCAGATGTTGCATGGGGTGGTGGAAAGGGCCTCAGCCTGCAAGGTGGACTCTGCCACCAACTTGGCATATGACTTTGAGCAGTCCCTTCCCTTCTCTGAGCCTCAGGTTCAATATCTGTCAAACTAGAGCCTTGGACTAAATATTTTCCAAAGGCCCTTGCCAGGTCTGACAGCCTCATCGTCTGCCTCCTCCTTGTCTCCCGCCAGTGTTTCAGTTTTTCTAACCGCCCCTAACTGCCGGTTCTTTCAGTCCACAGCCTTCAGGCCTGGAAGGAATGACTCCAACAGGGGCCGGGACAAACCCAGCCCTCCCCACAGACTTCCTTGTCTTTAGCCAGCAAGGCCTGGCCAGAGGCAAGGAGCACTGTGCTCAGGAAAATGTCACAGCTCTCTGCCTGTGTGGAAACTCAGCCCCACCCAGGCTGGAGTCTCTGGGGGCTCCCGTTTCCACCTGACTCCCTTTCTGAGGAAAATGAACACAACACAATCCACGGTGCCTGAGGGTTTATCTGCACCCAGCAAAGGTGCGAGAGGTTCTTAGAAAAACCTATCACCCGATGCATTTCTTAAAAAAGAACTGTTTCCTTGCCAGGGAAAAAATCCTGGATCAACTTAGAAAGTAGACCTGGCTCGGCCACAATCAAAGACCCTATTTTTCTGAATTACAGAAGAGCATTTTTCTACATGTAAACTTAGAACGCCTCCTTCTCTTTTCCGGTTTTCATATATAGCATAGGAATTTTCCTGTTCAATGAAGTTACTGTATAAGCTCTCCTCCCTCTCTCTCTCTCTCTCCCTCTCTCTCTTTCTCTCTTGCTCTCTTGTTCTCTCGTTCTTGCTTTCTCGAGCCTCTGACCTAAACTGGAGAAGACGATTTGAGGAAGCCTGGAGCTGGGGTCCTGGCTGAAGCTTGGTTTTCCTGGCCAGCAGCTGAAAAGCACTTAGCCCAGCAGGAAGTAATCCTCACCTGTCCAGTATCCTCTTCTGTTTCCAAAGCATCCTCTTACCCGTTCCTTCTGCCAGGAGGCAGGCAACGCAGGGATCATTCTCTCATTTTGCAGAGTAGGGAGTCAAGCCCCAGAGACAGGAAGTCACTCACTCAGAATCCTCGGTGCAGCAGCCAGCACTGAAGATGTGAAGCTGGGCTCTGCCTGTTACAGCCCATTGCCTTTCAAGCTTTCCTTGTGGCTCTCCCAGGCCCAGCTGCATACTTCTGTGTTCCCTCAGTCCCCCTCCATCCTTCCTCCCAGACACCCTCATCTGTCTGCAGTCCAGTGGCCAGTTCACCTTGCTCTCATATGCTTAGACATGGGCCCTGGGCATGGACCATGCCAACTCATCTCTCGGTCCTCAGCACCAGCACAGAGCCTGGCAAAGGGGACTCTGAATGAACAGAATGTCAAGAAACAACAGCATCAGCAGCTAAAATTTTCTGCAGGCTTGCTGCATGCCAAGTGCTGTTCAAAGGGCTTTCCACAAATCAGTCATCCTTACACTTGATTCTTTCTGAGATGGATGATATTATTATCCCCATTTGCAGGTTAGAAAACTGAGGCTTAAATTACTGTTCCAAATCCATGAGGTTAATAAGCAGTTGGAGTCAAGATTCAAATGGGACTAGGTAAGGTAGGCTGGTGTGAAGTTTGCAGCCCTAGCCACATATCAGAGTCACCCCTGGGAGCTTTTAAAAGTCAGAGGTCTGCCCCTCCTGCTTGGGCCTATGGAATCAGAGTCTTTCAGGGTCTTGCCTGCGTCAATCTGATGCCCACTCTCAAGTGACAGCCACGGGTAAGGGCTAACTGCCTGGGCTTTGGCATCAGACAGACCTATGCTTAGTCCTGGGTCTGCCACTCATGGCCTTTCCACAGATCACCTCGCCCCTCTGTAGCCTCCTAATCTATAAAGTGGGGCAGCACTAGGACCTGGCTCACAGAGATATTGTGAGAACGGACAACACAGTGAGAACCCTACTTCGCACAGGGCCTGGTGTGTAGTGAGCATTTGGTAAACACTGGGAGTCCTCGCTCATTGGGTTGGGTGCTGACCAGGGCGGGGCACTCTCAAGCTGTCAGTACAGCACCTCCGTTCAGCCTCACAACCACCTGCTAGCCATGAAAGAATTAGCAACATAATTGATGAACAGGCCCAGCGGATAAGGAACTGAGGAGAGCAGCCCAGAGAGAGAGAGCGTGGGGTGGCTCCCCCATCCTGTGACCCGGCTCTGCTGAGAGCATGGGGTGACTCCCCTATCCTGTGACCCAGCTCTGCTCACCACCGCTCCCTTCACACATGCCCACGTGCATGCGCACACACGCGGACCCCTCAGTCCTGGCAGCAGTTAGCCGCAGTGCAAGAGCATATCCAATCTCAGGAAGAAGCAGTGGTTCCTGCTGTCTTGCTGCAGTGGGGGTCTTTACGTCCCTTCCTTTACCCCCTTCCCTCAACCTCTGTTTCCTGGATCCTGGGCACAAAGCCACCCCAGGGACCATGTGGACTAGGTGGCACAGTGAAGGCCAGCAGGTGCGGGCAGGCGTGAGCACCCATGGGCATCTGGGAAGAGTTTCGTTGTCAGCTCTTCTCGGTGTACGGACTTTCCTTTTCCATTTGGGGAACAAAGACTCTTTGAGTGCATTGAGAGCCTTGAATCCTGAGGATGACATCAACTGAAATGAGTCATCACCCCCACCCGGCAGGCAGCTCTGGAGGGCTCAGCTCAGGGCTCTGGGAGGAAAACACATGGAAAATGGCACGGAGAAAAAGGGGCCTGTCAGGGGCACGTGAGGGGCATGGGATGGGAGCATGCAGTGACCTGCTGGACATGGATGCTCTACAGCCCATGGCTCCTGGAAGCCGTCAGGCCCAGCATTCCAAGGCGACACAGGACTGCTGGCAGGGCCAGTGTAGACACATAGACCAGGGGGTTTCAAGCAGTATTTTCCAGGGCTGGGGATGAGAAAGGGAGGAGGATACAGGAGGCCTTAGCAGAAGTCCTGCCCCTTGGCCCCCTAACACACAGGAACACATGCACACACGGATACATCCACAAATACACAGTACAAATCTGTTATTCTTACCACTCTCTCATACACACGCATAGGTTCACATACTCATAACACACACTCATACACATACTTTCGAAGGTTCACGCCACACAAACTAACACATAGATATACAAATACACACACGTTTATATACTCCAGTATACACCGACTCATGCACCTCCACCCGCACTCACCCTAGACTCATACAAACTCACACACTGACACATGCACACACTTACCTACTCACACACTCACAACCTATTCATAGACCCTGTCCCACACACTAACCCACATCCACACACACTCACCTACACTCATATACATACACCCAAGCAATTCAGACTTCATTTGTTTAATAATTTGGGTTCCATTAAGTCTCATTTGAATGAAGAGTTCTGAGGCTAAAAACAATCAAACCAATCATTGAAAGCCCTTCCACATCACAGCTGTGGAAGCTGGGGTGTTGTAGGGGCAGATATTTACAGAGGAGCCCACAGAAAGTCTGAAGCCCACACTGTCTTCTCCTGCTACCCCCTTAAGGGCTCAGAGAGCTCAGACTGCTCTTCCCACACACAGGGTTTGGTTTCTCTGATTTGGGTACATTTTCTGCATTTCCCTCCTTTCCTCGTTGTCAGTAAAACCTTCTCCCTAGAATTATGGACTTGGGGTCCTGGCTTCACAAAGCACTGAATTCCACGATCCCTCTATTGGAAGCTATCTAGAAATAGTACATAAATAAATTCAGACAGCTGCTGTGAACAGGTGATGCCTGGCATGTAATCCAGAGCCTGGCATAGGTAAGTGCTCAATAAATGTTTGTTTTGTGCATGAGTGAATGGGCAATAGTTCCTGTATACGGAGCCCTTACTATGTCCTGGGCACGAAGTGCTTTACTTGCATAGCGGTGGTTCTCAACCCTGGCTGCACAGTAGAATCACCTGGGGAGACTTTTTTTTTTTTTTTTTTAAACTACTAATGCTCTTGCCTCACTCCCAAAGATGTTGATTGAGCTGGTTCAGGTGTGGCTTGGGCATGGGGAGGCTGCACAAACTTCCCAGTTGATGCTAATTATAGCCCCTGACTTCTTCACAACAACCCCACTCTTTTTGTTCCCAATTTACAGATGAAGGAATGAGGCACTGGGAAGTTAAATAACTTGCCCAAGGGCACCCAGCTATCAAATCCCAGACTGGAGATTTTAAGCCCTCATCTGTCTGATGCGAGGCATTGAGTCTGTCTCTGCTGCTCTCCAGGAATGTCACTTCAACCCAAGCCTGACCCACTCCAGGAAGCACACCCTTATTGTTGTCCCAGCCCTCAGTGACCTTGGGCCCATCTGCCTCTCTATTCCCATTGCCCTGACTCCCTCCCTATGGCTGGGGGCATCAACACTGGGCACCTCCCTACCAGCTACCAGGAGCGGGGCTCTGCTGACAACGAGAGGGGGTCTCCCACAGTCTTGCTGGCCACTGGGCAGCCACTGTTCTCTTCTGGTCTGCCCTGACATTTTTTCAGAGCTAGGAGACGGATCTCTGAGCAACCTGGTATTAGGGAGAAAGACTCAACCTCAACTCTGCATTTAAAAGATGGGCAACTTTGGATAAGATACTTCACTTCTCTGAGCCAGAGTTTCTCGATCCGCAAGAGGAATGCTACCTACTTCAGGAGAGAGTTTTGAGAATGACCTGAGATAATAGACATAAAACACTGAGCAGAGGGCCAAGCAAAGGCCCACGATGAATGAAGCATAGCGGTGGTGGTAGTTAGTATTATCAGTGACATTAGCCTTCTTTTCTCTCCCATAAATTACTGCTTAGAATTGCCATGAAAGGCAGCTTTGTGCAATTTTCCCCTGGGCCTCAGTTTTCTCTTCTGCAAAATAGGGTGATACAATCTTTCTCATGAGACTGCAGTGAGGATCCAGTAGAGTTTTGAATGAGAAAATGCTTTGCCAAGTACAACTTGCCAGGGTATGAGGAACAATTAACATGGACAAAGGGCTCCAGACAGGAGTCTGGGGGGCTGGGATTGGCGTTTTTTTCTCAGATCAATGAAATCTGAACATGCTGAAATGCTATAACATAGCCAGTATAGCTTAATAGGCAGAATTCTCTGCCCCAGCCTGAAAATGGGTTGTCTTGAATAAAGTGCAGCTGACCAGAAGCTGGAACCTGGGAGTCAGCTTACTCCTCCTTCCCCGCCCCCGCCCCCAGGCAGGAAGCTATAGGCCAGGCCCAACTGCAGGAGCTGAAGGAACAACTTAATAATGATAATAGCCTGTGTTCCCTAAAGTGGGTTCAGTGGTGACCGCCAGAAAAGATATGTCCATGTCCTCATTTCTAAATATGTTCATTACATTTAGAGTCTTTGAGATGTAATTAAGTTAAGGATCTTGAGATAAAAAGATCATCCTGCATTATCTGGGTGGGCACTAGATCCAATGACAGGTGTTCTTATAAGACACATGGAGGGGGTTTGACAGACAGAAGAGGAAGAGGCAATGTGGCCACAGAGGCAAAGATTAAAATGAAGTGGACACAAGCCAAGGATTGCTGGCAGTCACCAGAAGCTGAAAGTGGCAAGGAATGGATTCCCTGCTAGAGCCCCAGGAGGAGTGCCACCCAGCCCACACACCTCCACTTCACACTTCTCGCCTCCAGAACTGGACAAGGATAAGTTACTACTGTTTTAAGCCACTCAGTTTGTGGTCGTTTGTTACCGCAGCCCTAGGAAACTCACACATTCACTGAATGCTTACTTACTGTGTGCTGTGTCCAAGCACGATTGCAAGTGAGTTGCCTGGACTGGGTCATCCAATACTCACAGTAACAGTGAGGAGGGTGTTCTTATTACCTTTGTTTTTATAGATGAGGAGGTTGAGGTGCAGAGGGATTAGGTCACACAGCTAGCAAGTGGCTGGGCCAGGTTTTGGACCCAGACAACCTGGGTTCAAACTCCATAGCCCGTCTGCTTATCCATGACGCCAGTGGTTCTCAAAGTGTGGTTTCTGGACCAGCAGCAGCAGTATCTGGGGACTTATTAGAGATGCAGATTCTCGAGACCTACTCCAGACCTACAAAATCAGAAACCCTGGGCTGAGGCCCAGCACCCTGTGTTTTAACCAGCCCCCTAGTGTCTCTGATGCACACCCTAGTTTGAGAACTGCTGTGCTGTTGAGGCAAAGATGGCATCCTACTACCTGAATGGAGGCCAGTCATGGGCAGTCATGGACCTGGAGACAAGAGCAGGCAGCCAGCAGCACAGACGTCTGGTGCAGGGGCCAGAGACCCAGGCACAGGGTGCAGGGGCAGGATTGTAACTGCTTCCACCATGGACCAACCCAGGCAGGGCCCCAGTACTAGATGGTAGAGACAGCGCTTTTCTGTGATCATAGCACAGCATTCAAGCCACCTCCCAGCCAGGCTGTTGGGATGCTAAGTCCCCTGAATCACTAGATCCCACTGATGGAAAACAGGAATGTCCTAGGGCCTGGGGTGAGGCAGCCAAGTGGCCCCAGCTGTGGGGGAAGAAGGCTGGCCAGCAGGAAGCCTGTCCAAGTCAGCCCCTGGAGGTAAGTGGATGTAGAGAGGCTTGGGCACTCCAGCCCCCTGGGTCAAGGCCTGTCAGGAGAGGGTTCTGCAGGCAGGGGGAAACTTGTGGTCTCCAACAGAGCTGTGGCTCCCCAGGGAAAGTCAGTACAGAGAAGGGTCGGCACACACCTTCCAGGAGGGGACTGCGGTGGCCAGGTCTACGAGTCATACTATCTCCCTAGGAACCCCCATTCCACCCCAGGGCCAGTTTCACAGAAAGCTCCAATTTCTCACTACTCTGTTATCTGTTCCTCACCTGTGTCCCTCAGCAGCCTGTGAGCCCTTCAGGAGGTAGGTAGCATGTTCTGTTTCATCTCCATATCTCCCAGTGTCACCCTCATCTCCCTAATGTGAGACCTTGCCTGAAGTAGGCATAAATTGAGCATTTGATGAATGAATGAACGAATGAATGTACAAATAATACACATGTGCATGAATGAATGAGCTTAATGGACTCTAGACTAGCGTGATTGTATGCCTGTCTTAACACATCATATTTATCATCAATCATAAAGAATTCTAATGAATGCCAGTAGTTGTCACAAGTAATCCCACCAGCACCATTTAGCTTAATATGCACTTAATAGCTTAGCTCTCACCTGATCCCCACTGTTGAGATATAATATAATATTAATAACCACACAGAGTCGATTGTAGCTTTGCTGGGGGCTGCAATCCCCTCTCCCTAAGCAGGAGGCTTTGAATGAGCAGCCTTCTGCAAAATGGCTGCCCTCGGCTCTCCTTCACTGAGATGAGAGTGACTCTCTTAAACACACTGGCTTCTCAGACTTCAGACTCATTTCCAGCTGCCTCCATCTTCCTCCCCTCTGCAACATGGTCTGGGTGGAGAATGTGAACAACCGGGCTTCCCCTTCTCTGTTATATACTGTTAGGGTCCTTGAGGTTTGGCTAGAGGCCTCAGGGAGGCTGCTCATGGCCTATCCGGGTGTCAGAGCATGAGCTGGGGCCATGGGGCAAGGTAGGATGGGACAGGCCAGCCCTGGAGATCCCAGGAGCAGAACGGTAAGATCCCTGGTCCTCCTGTGTGGAGAAGGCCCCCCATCTCCTCCATGGGGGTGCAGCATTGGGTTGGGAGGAGCACTGAATGATAGGAGGAGCTTGAAAGAGTATTTTAATTCTGAGCTTTCTAAGTCTTTCTCTAAGTGAAACATGGCCTGGGGTGTTTCTTGATTTCTTTGGCATGATTGATACTATGGGGTCAATGAAATCTCTTGAGTTGTTATCCACAGGCCTCAAGGCAGCCATAATTTACATCTCCCTAGGGGAGAATGGTCCTCTCTCTTCCCTCCCAGAAGAAGAGTCAGGAGGGGACCTTACTATCATTCATTCTATCCTGGGCCCAGTCTGGCCTTGTCCACAACCAGCATCCACTTTCCAACCCTGTCTGGACTTGGCGCTGGGCTGGGCTCTGGGGGAACAAGAGGACAAGGAATTGGGTCCCCTGGAAAAAAAGGACCAGACACCAACATGGGGCCCAGATACAGGTGACCTGGGCTGGGCTCTGGGGGATCAAGAGGACAAGGAATTGGGTCCCCTGGAAAAAAAGGACCAGACACCAACACGGGGCCCAGATACAGGTGACCTGAGCTTGGAGCCATAAGCAAAGGACAGGAAAGTCCTGTAGGGGCTTAAAGAGGGAGCACTCCCCGCCCACTGGGGGACACTGGGAAGGGGACCTGAAGGAAGGGCCAGTGGAGATAGGCCTGAGATGCTTCACACAGGTGAACACAGTGGAGTGAGCAGAGCATGAGCAAACCCACACAATTAGGAAAACAAGGGCCAAGTGAGTGATTCCAAGGATGGGAGAAATGGGACCCCGAGATAGCCTCCAGCATTGGAGCAAAAAGGAGAGAATTATGGATCCAGAGAGATTCAGACTTAGAAATGTTAATCTCACAACAGGCCAACCCTGAGCTCAGCACTTAGGTGCATTAGCTCACCTAACCTCAAGGCAGTCTGATGGGGTGGGGACTGTGGCTATGCCATTTTCAGATGAGATGACTGAAGCTGAAGGAGCTTAAGACTGCAGGCCTTAACTGCAGTGGTTGGGACTTCCCAGCTCTTGCTACTCTCAATTCTTTTTCCTTTAGGAGACTGGAGTCAGAGAGCCTCAAATGTCCAGCCAAGGAGACTAAAATTTATGCAACAGGCAACCGGGTGCCTTGGCAGATTCCTGAGGAAGGTTCTAGCTGACCATTTTAGGAGGAATCCTCATTTCACCCCAAGCTGCTGCCCTAGGCAGTTGGGTCCCCTTTCTTTTTCTTGCCAAGGAGAGGGTGGAATTGGGTGATCTGGAATGTGGTGCGAAGGCGATAGTTTGGCAACAGCAGGAGACATACTTTCTTGCAGCCTCTCAGCACTTGGCATGTTATGCCCTGGGCAAAATCAAGCTGCCCTGGGAACAGCCCGGGGCGTCCCAACAGATGAGCTTGTGTGAATTCAGCCAGGGCAGACAAGCAGCGCAGTCAGAACGAGCTCATAGCTTCAGTGGGCACCGTGAAATCTCGCCTACATTGGCCAAGGCGCTGATGAAGAATCAGGGTAACCTTCAGAGCTGGGAAGAACCTCAGAAAATACCCAGTCCAATGTCCCCAAGATGAGAAAACTGATGCCCAGACTGATGGTGTGACCAGCTCGAGCAGCTTTGGCATGTTGTATTCCCCCCACTGTAAGATCCAGGCCACTCTCTCCCATGACCCGGAAGATGGCATGGGAAAGGGCCTCATACAGAGCTTGGTACACACTAGGTACCCAATGTAGAAAGGAATGCATTTGAATCTGTGGTGGGGACCTGTGGTTCACATGCAATGACGTTGATGCTGCTGAGTAGGGGAAAAGAAATAACCAGAGAAATTTGTCCGAGGGTTGTTGTCAAACACACTGTGTCTTTCTACAGACTTTCCTGCTCAGTTGTGCAAAGAGACACACTCTCTGTGGGATGCTGGAGCCCCATTTGGCTCCAAAATGGGATTTGAGTTTAAGGGAACAGCCAGAACAGATGGTGACCCTGAAGTCATATTTTGAAACAGGCTGACTCTTGTTTAATTTAGATGAAAGTACAGCTTGACAGTCTCCAAATGTTTGCTGGAGGAACAGCCTGTGGACCACCAGAATAATGGGAGAGGGAATCAGACCTTCCAAGATGAAAACCCAGTGGACACCTCCTAACTAGAGACCAAGAATGGGGGGGTGGGAGGGGAGGTGACCTCGGGGGAACCCCAGGAGGACCAGCCTCCCCCAGAATGGTGCAGGGCAAAGGACGTGGAATTTGATGCCAGAGAAACTTGTATGTAAGTCCCTGCTCAGCCACGTACTAGCCAGGTGATCTTGGGCATGTTCTTTAACTTCTCTGAGCCTTAGCTTCCTTATCTGGAAATAGAGGTGGCAATACTTAGCTCTCAGGGTGGTGGCACAGGGCAAATGTCAGGTGCTAAGCATATTCTGTCCATTTTGTTCATTCATTCATTTGTTCATTCACAAATGACTATCAAGCACACACCGTCACATGCCTGGCACTGCAAGTCATGGAGATTTGGGGTGAACGGGATGGGCATGACCTTAACTTTGTGGGATGGATGGCTCAGCACTGGGTTCCCCATCCCTGGCTCTGAGCACTCCTGGGCATTACCTGCTGAGTAGCTCATATAGCCTCAGGAGGTAGGACTCCTATACCCATCACCCACCACCACCATCCAGATGAGGAAACCCACACTCTTTCTGAGCAATGTGCCCAAGTCACATAATTAAAAAAAGTGTTGAACCAGGATTTAAAGTTCATGTGATGTTTCCAAAGCTCAGCTCTAACCACACACTACTGTCAAGCACATCCCTGAGAATGGTACGGATGTGATCAAGCAGCACTGGGGAATTTCAAAATGGAGTGATGCCACCCACCTGGATATCAGAAGACGTAGTTCCAGACCCAGTTCTAGAACAAGGAACCTGTTGGGAGTCACATCGCTAAAATGTGTGTGACTCCCAGGAAGTTCCTTGCTCTCTTTGAACCTCCATCTTCCCGTCTGCAATTTGGGGGAGCTGGAATAGTTGATCCCCAAAGTCCAGCATTTTCTGAGGCCTCAGGTTCCCAGTGGGTTCTGATGGGAGTAAGGTGTTTGGGGGGACTTGCAGGCATTGTGAGAAGTGAGGCCCAGTGGGTCCTAGCTACCTAAGGTGCATAAATGGTGAACTGTGCCTTCTCACACAAGGAGCCTACGCTATGCAGCATGGACCACGCTGGGTGGAAGGCTGCCTCCAAAGAGTGATTCTTGGAAATCTTGAACCTGAGCAAGGCTGACCAGCCTCCCACATGCATATGCATGACAGCATTCTTCACATTCCACCCAAGATCTCCATGCTAAAGCAGCTCCACACGCTATTCCTGGAAAGGTAAACGTGGATGGAGAAATGAAAGCTTCTCATGGCCATCAACACACACATTTCTATTCATTCCAGAAGCATTTATTGAGCACCTGCTGTACAGCAGGCACTATTCTAAGTGCCGGAGATCCAGCAGTGATAGACAAGTTCCTTCCCTCTTGGAGCTGACAGTTCTAATCCAAAGCTTTGGAGGGCAGTGACCATCTCCATCTTGTCAATATCAAAGCATTAATAGCCCCCTCAACACACAGGTGTTAGGTATCTGTAGACAGAAAATGTCCATGTATCCTTTGCAATAATTCTAAATATCCCCCACAAGTTGGGGACCTCAAATCTGTATATAACATCATCTCTGCTAAAGCACTCTGTCATCAGATAAACCTGAGGGCCTGAGTCTAGCCAAAGAGCCCCCCAGGACCTTGAAAATTTAATTCTCTTGCTTTATCTTTAAAAGCACTTAAGTTTTGAATTCCACTCCAAACATGTGTGTGTGTTTGTTTTAATAATATAAAAATGTTCCAAATTATTCCCCAGTTGTTACTGGTCTCCTCACCACAAATTACCAACCACTGAGTAAAATCCTCCAGGAAATAAACAATGTGGCTCTTCGCATGCTAGTGTCACACAGCCAAGGACTGTGAGCACACCCATTTGAGAAGCAGGTCTCCAAAGGAATGGCTTGGACAGGAGAGGCGTAATGCATCCCCCACGTCTCACGGGTACAACCATGTCTAAAGGAATTGCTCCCCTGAGTGAAAGCATCTAAAAACCTCCCACCCGAGTTATTCCTCCCCAAACCGCATTTCTGTTCCCTGGCAAGAGAATTCTTCCTATGTTTACGGATGCACATTCTCAATACAGAGATCCAGAGAGAGATAAAAAATAAAAAGAGATCATGTCAGACCTGGATGACCTTAGCGCTGGTCCGACCTCTTCGTTGTATAGACGGGAGGAAGCTTTCCAAAGCCAGGACTGACTGGAGTCTAACCGCAGACAGCAATTGTTAGAAACCTTCCTCACTTGCCTCCACCACCTCTTTGCCAGGCAGCTGTCGTGGCCTGGGAGGCCCTGAGAGGCCAAGGTGGACCAGGGGCTCTTTGTGCTGGCTCCGGGCTTTCTTCTGACTCTGCCTTCCTGACATTTTACTGCAAGTCTCTTAAATTCTCTTCTCTTACGCTATGTAAAGGTAGAGACCCTTTGCCCCCGCCCTGAAGCAATTCACTGTCTGATAAGCAGAGGCAGGAGCAAGGCAGGTAGTAGAATCCAGGGCTTGACTGCACTCTACCTAGACCAAAGGCCTTTACCCCGGGTGGCCCTGGGCGGTAGTGCTGCAGGACTGACCGAGGGTGGGAAGCCAAGATGCTCCCCCAGGGCCAGGCTAGGAAAAACGGCTCCTGGGCGAAGGCCCTGCTTTCATCCCAGAAACTTCACCCTGCCTTCCTCCCTCAACGTGTTCGAGCCACATTCAGGCTGTCTCTTCCATCCTCTCCTCATTCTGTTTCTCTGTATCTGGAACATTCCACTCCTCTTCCAGCCCATCATCCCCACCTCCTTTCCTGGCTAAATCTGTTCACCCCTCAGATCTCATCTTAAATCCCATTCCTTGGGGAGACTCTCCTGACACCCTGGTACAGATGAGAGTGTCCTGGCATGTGCTTTCATAGCTCTCATTGCACTTTCTAACATTTTCTACCATTTATAAACATAAAGAGTCTTTTTGTACAATCCTTTATTTAGCATCAATGTCCCCCATTAGACTATAGGATCCTAGAGGGCAAGCAGCAAGCCTATCTTGCTTTTCATTTTCTGCCCAGGATATCACACATTGCTTGTATTCAGAGAACAGTCAATACATATTACATAAAAGTGGGTAAACAAATGGATGAATGAGAAAGCCCCCAGGTTACAACAGGCAGAATGGCCATTTCTACCAAGGGCAGAAACTCTGGAATGAATTCCATCCCACCCACTTTGCAAAGTCCTTGTTTAGCTATGTTTCACTTTCCCCACATCAGATTATGATTGTTTATCTCCCTCCACTGGAAGGTCAATGATTCTAAACTCCAAACACAAATGACTTGGTCCTGGCCCTTCCCATCCTCAGCAAGATGGACTTACAAATGAGTTCTCACCTCTGATGGAATAAACCCAATACAAGCAATGCTGAGAGAGGACACAGGACAGCTTAGGCACAACATCAGCTAGCACTGAGATGGAACCTTGTTACTGGCCACTCCCCTTCATTAAGGGCTTTCCATGTGCCAGGCACTGTGCTAAGAGCTTGGGGCGTTATTTCGTTTATAGTTTCCTCACTCTACAGATGAGGAAACTGAGGTTTCAAAAGGATTAGTACATTGTCCAAGGTCACCAACTGATACATGCAGAGCCTGGAACCAGGCCAGCTCTATCTGACTGCCCAGATTCAGCACTTGCCCTCCAAGCTACACAGCACTGCAGCTTACACTTGAGTGCCACACACATCACCTGGGGGCCTGGTTAAGGTACAGATCTGATGCCGTGGGTCTAGATCTGATGCTGTGGGTCTAGATCTGATGTTGTGGGTCTGAGGCAGGATTTGGGATCCTGTATTTCTTTTCTTTTTTTTCTTTTTTATTTTTGAAACAGAGTCTCCCTTTGTCACCCAGGCTGGGGTTCGTTCAGTGGTGTGACCTCGGCTCACTGCAGCCTTAACCTCTTGGGCTCAAGCGATCCTCCCACCTCAGGCTCCCAAGTAGCTGGGAGTACAGGCACATGTCACCACATCATGCTAATTTTTTATAGAGATGTTGTCTCACTATGGTGCCCAGGCTGGTCTCAAACTCCTGGCCTCAAGCAATCACCCTACCTTGGCCTCCCAAAGTGCTGGGATTACAGGTGTGAGCCCCTGTGCCCGGCCTTGGGACTCTGTTTCTAATGAGCTCCTGGATGATGCCCATGCTGCTGGTCCAGGGACCACAGTTTAAGCAACAAGTCTATCAAGGTGAAAATGCAGAGGATTTCCATAGGGCAGGCTGAGGAACAGCGCAAGCAAAGGCTTGGAGAAGGGAACATGCATGGTCAATTCAGAGACCAGCAAGCAGTTCAGGGTGGTAGAGCCAGGGTACGGGGAGGGATGTGAGAGGAGAAGAGGCCTTGAACTGCAACCCAAGGAGTGTGGAATGCATTGTGCGTCACAGAAAACATGGAAGCGTTTTGACAGGGGATGTGACATGATGGGACCTGTGTTTTAGACAAGCTACTCTGACTCACAGTGAGAAGCCATGCTAGAGGACAGAGAGATGGGAGATCCTGCTGGCCAGGGAGCTGCTGTAGCAACCCAGCAGAAAGAGGTAACACAGGCCTGAAGCCAGGCAGGGCAAGAAGATAGAAGGGAGAGGTTGCATGCAACAGACATTGCAGGGGCAGAATTAATTTTTTTTTTTTTATGGCAAGATCTCACTCTGTTGCCCAGGCTGAAGTACACTGGCACAATCACAGCTCACTGCAGCCTCATTTCTAAGAGTGGTTCCATTTGAGACTGTGTTGGAATGGTATGCAGCTCAGTTTATGTCTGTGCTCAGCTCCTGTCATCTCTGCACTGTTGCTTTAGTTCATGGAATGGCTGAGAAATTTTTCATAACTTGGAAAGAGTACTGTAGCTTTGTTTTAAAGAAACTAATTCTGGCCAGGCATGGTGGTCTCCTGGGCTCAAGTGATCGATCCTCCTGCCTCAGCCTCCTGAGTAGCTGGGACTACAGGTTCATGCCACCACACCCAGATCATTTTAGTTTTTAGTTTTTTTTTTTTTTTTTTTTGTAGAGACAGGGTCTCACTATGTTGCCTAGGCTGGTCTCGAACTCCTGGCTTCAAGAGATCCTCCCACCTCGGCTTCCTGAAGTGCTGAGATTACAGATGTGAGCCACCATGCCTGGCCAGAATTAATTTCTTTAAAACAAAGCTACAATACTCTTTCCAGGTATGAAAAATTTCTCAGCCATTCCATGAACTAAAGCAACAGTGCAGAGATGACAGGAGCTGAGCACAGACATAAACTGAGCTGCATACCATTCCAACACAGTCTCAAATGGAACCACTCTTAGAAATGGGGCGCATCAGCCATGGCTTCCAATCCAGCCACCCTATCTCCGTGATGAGCCAGCCTTTTCCTCACTTTGCGGAATACTCACTTTGAGTTTCTAAGTCCAGAGAATGGAGGGGACTTGGCAAAGCTCCTGTGACCAGGCCTAGAACCAAGGAATCCGAGCCACTAAACCAGTGCGGGGCATCTTAGAGAACTTCCCTCCGCCGAGAAAATGAAGACATTCAGTTGCAATTTGATATCAGCCCACACTTGCAAATATTAAACAAATAAAGCCACTTCATTCCTTAATGAAAGCTCATATACTAAAAGGGGAGGGGAAGACCCTGAAATGGAGCCATCTACTGCAGACAGTTAGACCTGAAATAAAATTAGAAAATATGTCACATGGAAAAACTCTGCAGTGAGAAATGGTTTCTTCCACCCCTCCTTTTTTTCTTTCTGTGGGAGAGTGAGTAATTTGGCATTTTAACTAGACAGGGGGAATGAGCAGCTGTAGTCTGTTTTGTACCAAATACACACAGTTGCTGGGCAGTTTTGTATCCCACTTTGTGAATGGGATGACAGTGCAGGATGTGCTCAGCAGTGAGATGAACAGGGCTGAGCAGAGCTGAGCCGAATCACTGCCCCCAACTGCCAGAACGTGCGGCCAAACTGAACTCAGATATCCTAGCATGTTCATGCTAACGATGCTTTTAGAATTGTCTTTCCAACCCCTTCATTTCCCAGATGGGGAAACTGAGGCCCAGAGAGGTACAGTGATTTGCCCACAGCAGAAGAAGAGCAAAGGAATGTTAAGGCTGAGGCTCTGGGAGAGTCTCCACCATGTCCCGCACTGTTGCCATAGTTGCCTCCGGCATGTCATGGGCTCCTCCGTGGCTGGTGGCGACCTGAACGTAACAGGGTTCCACTGGGTTATTACTTCAAAAGGCATTGCCTGAGTACTGGCCAGGGGCCAGGCACAGGGCTAGGTGCTGGTGGCATAGAGAACAACCCCAGCCAGGTGTGATGGTGCCTGTACCAGGAGTTTGAGACCAGTCTGGGCAACACAGTGAAACCCCATTTCTTAAAAAAAGAAAAAAAAAGAAGATAGAAAAATTATTCAGGCATGGTGGCGCACACCTGCAGTCCCAGCTACTTGAGAGGCTGAGCTGGAGGACCACTTAAGCCCAGGGAGGTCAAGGCTGCAGTGAGCTGTGATTGCACCACTGCACCCCAGCCTGGGCAACAGAGTGAGAACCTGTCTCACACAAACACACAAAGAGAGAGAGAGAGAGAGAAATAACCCTAGTCTGGTTTTTTCAGAGTGTCCCTTCCCATACTCTAGCTACTCTGGAGACTCTGTTGGTTTGAGATTAGGGTGTGGGAAGGGATATTCTGGGAGATGAGGCCAGGACAGCACTTGGTGGAACTTCAGAGGGCCTCAAATGCCACACTAAGGAGTAGAAGGCTGTATTTATCTTCCAATGCTGCTATAACAAACTACCACAAACTTAGTGGCTTACATCAACACAAGTTTTTTTATCTTACAGTTCTGGAGGTTAGAAGTCCAACACAGGTCTTACTGAGATAAAAATTAAGGTATCAGCAGACCATGGTTCTTTCTGGAAGCTTTAAGGGAAAATCAGTTTCCTTGCCTTTTGCAGCTTCCAGAGGCTGCCTGCATTCCTTGGCTTGTGGCCCCTTCGTCTATTTTCAAAGCTAGCAAACAAGGATGCTCAAGTCCTCTCACATCACACCACTCTGATTTCCTCTGCCTCCCTTTTCCACTTTTGAGGACGCTTGTGATGATATTGGGCCCAACCAGATAATCGGAGACAATCTCCCTCATTTGAGGTCAGCTGATTATCAGCCTTGATTCCATCTGCAGCCTAACTCCCTTTGCTATAGAACCTAATGGAGTGACACGTCCTGGGGGTTAGGCTGTGGGTCCTTCAGAGGGCCATGACCCTGCCTACCACAGATGGTGATCATGGGAAGATGGCAAAGGGTTTTAAGCAGGGAGCAACACAATCAGAGCTGGTTTAGAGTGTTGCTCAAATGTTAAAAGTGCACACGAATCACCGAGGATCTTGTTAAAATGCTATCCTCAGTCCCCTAGATGGTGTGATTCTGATTTATGAGTTCTGGGGGTGAAGCCAGAGATTCTGCATTTCTGCCAAGTTCCCAGGTTATGCTGATGCTGCTGGTCCATGGACCACACGTAGCAAGATGCTAGAAGCAAGAAGATTGAGTGGCAAGAAGCTAGAAGATTACTGTGGCTGCAGTGTGGAGGATGGATTCTAGGGTGGAGAGGATGGAGGCTGGGAGACAGACCTGTGTGCTGATGTCAAGTTGTAATTGAATTTCTTCATTTCACAAGGCTGTGGTGAGAATTTCACATATGAAATACACACACAGATACACATACATATATGTAAATGTACATATAAAATGTATATTATATAAAACATATACATACACACACAGATGTGTGTATGTGGATATGCATGTGTGTATATATAACATATATGTATATCCTATATATTAAAACTTAAAACAGCACCTGGCACATAAAAAGCACTATATAATTATTAGCACAGATCATACTGTTTTTTGGTTGTTGTTGTTTTTTGTTTCTTTGTTTGTTTTTGTTTTTGAGATGGGGACTTTCTCTGCCACCCAGGCTGGAATGTAGTGGCATGATCTCGGCTCACTGCCACCTCTGCCTCTTGGGCTCAAGAGATTCTCCTGCCTTAGCCTCCCAAGTAGCTGGGACCACAGGCGTGCACCACCACGCCCAGCTAATTTTTGTATTTTTAGTAAAGGCAAGATTTTGTCATGTTGGCCCGGCTGGTCACAAACTCCTGACCTCAGGTGATCCATCTGCCTTGGCCTCCCAAAGTGCTGGGATTATAGGCATGAGCCACCATACCCCAGCCATACCCTTGGTATTTTCTTAGGTTCATGTGAAGCACCAGAGCACTGGCCTAGGAGTCAGGATACCTGGTTCTAGACCTGGCTCTCCTGCCAACTTGAACTGTGACCATGAGCTAGTCACTTTCCTTCTCTGAGCTAGACAATCAAGTCAGAACTAGCTAGCCACTAAGATTGTAGTTGGAGAGGAGAAGCAGTTGGCTGGGCCTATTTCAGAGGTTCTGTGTGTAATGCTGTTGAACTTGCAAGAACTTGGGTTCAGCTTGTCATCAGCTAGAATCTCTACTCTATGTTCTGTGAGATGAAATGGTTGTAACTTTCCTATGCCAGAAAAAGCACAGCTTAACTTTTCTTTCATGAAACATTCTATTCTTGATATACATACTATAGGCAGTGCCTACTCTCACCCTGCTCTAGCCCCATCATCCTGCACAGTGGATGGCTGCAGGGTGGTCTTTCAGTGTGGCTGGAGGCGCACATAGACTTTGCTGGTCAAAGGTTCATAATGCTGGGTTTTCACTAAGATCTCCACAGTCCCAGGCTTTGAATGATTCATTCATTAACTTATTCAAATGCTCATTGTGTCCATTTAGTGCCATGTCAGATGCTGGGGAAACATGGATAAATAAAAACGGCTTCCTGCCCTCAAGGAACCCACAGTGATGTGGGAGCAGGGAAGTAAGGAGGCATTGAACTGATCACCAGTGACAGGCCCGATCACTAATCCTTAGAGTAGGAATTGCCCTAATTTACAGATAAGGAAGACAAGGAGTCCCTCTCTGGGACTCAGCATCACCACCTTTGAAAGGAAGCAGTTGGACTGCATTGGTTATTCTCAGCCTTGGCTGCATCTTAGACTGCACCCAGGAGATTTTCAAACCTGCTGGTGTCTGGACCTTATCTCAGATGTATGAAGAATCCCTGAAGAGCTGGAGGACTGGGCACCAGGCCCCCTTGGAATCCCCAAAATGATTCCAAGGTACTGGAGGCCTGATGACCATCAAGGTCCTCATGACATGAGCTCTCACATTCTAATTTCCTGAAAAACCCTCTTCTAGCCCTTCCACAGACATGTGCAAAATGGATGAATGAAGGAGAAGAGTGGAGAGGGAGGGTGGGAGGAGCCCTCAGCTCTTTTGAGTAAGGCCACCATTTGGAGAAGGATGGTGGCACTGTTCCTTTACCTGTTGTCATTTGCTCCTTTTGGGTTAGAGACACAGCAGTAATAGACAAGGCAGGGTGGGCTTGGCGTTCTCATATGCTGTTGCAGGGAGTATAAATTATTATTGCCTGTCTGAACAATGCAACAAAAGCCTTAAAAATGGGCATGCACTAGACCCAACTATTTGTTTTAGGAAATTGTGTTGTGCTAGGAAATAATTGCAGAAGTCGTCAAATACAAAGCTACAAGACTACGATCGTCACAATAGTGTTCATAATAGTGAGCAATGAGAAACAGCCTAAAAGTTTAATTACAAGACAACCAAACAATGAAATACTATTACAAACACAAAAAATATTAGAGACGAGTATTTAATGTTCCAGAGAAGGTGTCTAGATGATTGTTAAGGGGGAAAAAAGCCATCAACTAAACACTAAATGCAATGTACAGAATGTTCTGTTCATATTATGATCTATGTGCATACTTAGGGGTGGAAAATAAACTTGAAACACAGTCCATCAAATGCTAGCAGGGTTTATCTTTGAGTCACAAGATAATATGTGATCTTTTTAAACTCCTCTTTTTGGCCCTAGTTTTTATAATAACTATGTATTATTTTTATTACCAATTTTTAAAATTTTATTGAAAAAAATGAATCTCTTACAAACACTTCTCACATCCCTCTGCCTCTCCCATCTCCTGGTGGAAATGGACATCCCTACTTTGGCAGTGCAGATGCTTGCTTACACTGTGTTAGGAAACTCAGGACAAGCTCCTTAGCATGCAAGCCAGCTTCTGCGCACTGTCTCTACTACTGAACTATGAGTCCCTCCAGGATGGGCACTGAGTCTAATGCGGCTCTTCAGCCATCCTGCCACCTACTCCAGAGAGTGCCTGGGACAGCAGGAAGCCAGGAATAATAGGAGGAAGACAGACATCTGTAAGAGAAGCCATAATACAGAACAGACAGACCATTTTGAAGACTTCAACAGAAATTCCCTTTGGGAGGAAGCTAGTCACAAAAGACTGCCTAGATGGGAGGAGTGTTTTAAGCTGGGCCCCATTTGAGTCCCTCAGTGATGGGAGGAGTAACTCCTAGAGAGGCCTAAGGCCAGGGTGTTGCCTGCAAGCCAGACTCCAGCCAAGCTCTCCAAACCCAGAAAGGGGTTCCCTGGCATCTAAGGTCAGGGGCCCTGGTCACTTGGGAGAGATACCAGGGCCCTCAGAATAGTTTTTTGCCCTGTTCTGTCCTTTAAACCACCCATGGTATGCAACAAATATGAACTGGAGTGGATTGGATTTGGTTGGGTTGGGATGGGTTTGGTTGGATTGGATTAGGTTGGGTTGGGTTGGATTGGGTTGAGTTTGATGGGGTTGTATTGGATTAGGTGGGTTGAATTGGATTAGGTTGAGTTGGGTTGGATAGGGTTGGGTTGGGTTGAGTTTGGTTATAATGGGGATAAAGAGTGGGCTGCATTCATTAGGTGACCAGGGACCCCTGTCTCTCTCATTAGATGTTGACCTGGATCTGCTCTAACCCTAGACTTTTCCTCTCTGTAGTTTGGATAGAGCAGAAGAAGGTAATCAGTCAGCAAACCTGGCTCCTCCCAACACCTCTGATACCACCTTAGCTCCCCTGGGCACTTTGTTGACAGCAATAGGTCATACCCCACAATCTGATGCTCTGACTTTGAGGTCTTATTTGCTTATCCATTCTCCACACTAGACATTAATGCCTTAAATTGAGTCTTATTGTAAGATTGCCTCCTTTTTACAACCCTCACCTACCCACTACCACTGGTACACTCCCATTATCTAATCATACCATGCAGAAATTATGGAATAAGCCAACCTATACTAAAGAATTCGTGGCTTAATGAAGGAGGTAGGCAGGGGTAACTTCTCTTACCAGACTGTAAAACATAGCACAAAGTAACAAGCATCAAAATTGTATGGATTTAAAACGACATACACATATTAGCACAAGAAAGTGATCAGTAATACAGAGATACCAGAAATAAAAGTATATCATTAAAAGAAAAAATATTATATGATAAGATATCACACAACAATGATGGGCAGTACAGTGATGAGGCAATAGCTCACACTTTAATTAGTACTTGGGGGAAACCTGGGGACCACTTTGGAAAAGAACTGGCTTTAGATTATACCCTAATCTGGCCAAGTGTGGTGGCTCATGCCTGTAATCCCAGCACTTTGGGAGGCCAAGTTGGGAGGATTGCTTGAGCCCAGGAGTTCAAGACCAGCCTGGGCAACATAGAGAGACTTAAAAAAAAGAGAGATTATATCCTAATCTATGGTTCATTTTAAGTGATCAAGCTGTAGATATCAAAAGAAAACTGGAAAATCAACTTACATATTTAGCTAGAAGAAAAAAGATAAATGCACAACTTTTGACAAACTGAGGCAATCAGGAATAAGATGAGTAGAGAGAAGCTGGGAAATAAATTTTTATCCAATTAATATAATAAGAAAGATAAAGAGCAAATTAACATTAGAGTGAATTCCAGCCTAACTAGTTATTACACTATTGAAGAAAACGACAGCCCTATAATATTCCCTGAGTACTCAGTCAAGGTCACCCTACAGCTGACAAAGCCATGGAAGAATTGGAATGACTTACACACCACAGAGAACATAGTAAGTTGGTGCATTAGACCACAGGCTAGACTAACCCCTTCATTCCTTCTTTGATTCATTGAAAAAGTATGCTGAGTACCCACTTCATGCCAGTCCTGCACCTGAAATCCCTGTTCCAGGATTCAGAGTTGGACAGGCCCATCCCTGCCTCATAGAACTTCCTATGTAGCAGTTAGGGATGCAGGCAACTAATCAGTGGTCACTGTACAGTCTGAGAAGCCCTGAGACAAAGAGATGCTCATTATGCCTGGGAGAGGAGAGACAGCTTCCCAGAGTAGAATCTTAGAAGGATGATTTGGGGGTCCCCAGGTACTATGGGGGAAAGGCATTTTTAAAATGGTACTGGTAGCCAGGTGCAGTGGCTCACGCCTGTAATCCCAGCACTTTGGGAGGTCAAGAAGGGTGAATTGCTTGAAGCCAGGAGTTTTAGACCAGCCTGGGCAACACAGCAAAACTCTATGCCTACAAAAAATTTTTAAATTAGCTGGGTATGAGGGTATGTAATCCAGCTACTCAGGAGGCTGAGGAAGGAGGATCCCTTGAGCCCAGGACTTTGAGGCTTCAATGAGCTAAGATTGTACCACTGCACTACAGCCTGGGCAACAGAGAAGACCCTGTCCCAAAAAATAATAATAGAATAAAAATGGCACTAGCCTATGCAAAAGCACAGGTGTGGGACGTTGCATGTCCCATTCAGAAGCCTGCCAGTGATTTGATGTGAGCTGAAGTCCATAGGGACTTAGTGTTAGTGGAGGAAGGCAGGGTCCTCTGGGGCCAGGAGCATGACTCCATCTCAGGTACAGTGAGAACCCAGTGAGGGCAATTATACTAGGAAGCATCATGATTAAATAAGAAAAATCCATCTAAATACATAGTAAGAACTGTCCAACCAGTTCTGTTCTTTGATGGGTGAGTTCTTTGGGGGGAAATATTGCCAAAGGAAATAATCCAAAAGAAAAAGGCCATTTGTCTGAAGATGTCCCAGCAGCACTATTTATAAT
Source organism: Homo sapiens (assembly GCF_000001405.40). Classification (NCBI taxonomy): domain Eukaryota; kingdom Metazoa; phylum Chordata; class Mammalia; order Primates; family Hominidae; genus Homo; species Homo sapiens. The sequence goes on along the minus strand of NC_000009.12, from coordinate 98,951,203 downwards.
AATGACAAATTGCTAAAGTCCAGCTCTGGACAAAGTGGCCAGCTCTAGACAATTGTCCTTTGGGAGATGGAGACTGCAGGTCAATGAGGCAAAACTTCAGGTGTGACTCCTACCCACATCTCTCTCACTCAGAAAAGCAAATCAGACTGCCAGGGAGCAAGAGTGGGGTGGTTAGAGGGAAGTTCTGCGCTGCTCTGATTCATATGCTTCCCATTAAATCAGGATTTCTCCAGAGAAGATGGTGGCCAAGAAGCACTTGAAAAAATGCGCAACGTCATTTGTCATTAGAAAATTGCAAATAGGCCAGGCACAGTGGCTCACGCCTGTAATCCCAGCACTTTGGGAGGCCGAGGTGGGTGGATCATGAGGTCAGGAGTTCGAGACCAACATGACCAATATGGTGAAACTGTATCTCTACTAAAAATACAGAAATGAGCTGGGCATGCCTGTAGTCTCAGCTACTCGGGAGGCTAAGGCAGGAGAATTGCTTGAACCTGGGAGGTGGAGGTTGCAGTGAGCCAAGATGGGCCGGCCACCAACTCCAGCCTGGGTGACAGAGTGAGACTCTGTCAAAAGAAAGAAAGAAAGGAAGAGAGAGAGGGAGGGAGGGAGGAAGGAAGGAAGGAAGGAAGGAAGGAAGGAAGGAAGGAAGGGGAAGGGAAGGGAAGGGAAGGAAGGAAGGGAAGGGAAGGAAGGAAGGAAGGGAGGGAGGGAAGGAAGGAGGGAAGGGAGGGAGGGAAGGAAGGAGGGAAGGAAGGAGAAAGAAAAAAGAAAGAAAGAAAGAATTGCAAATAAAAACCACAATGAGATGCCATTTTATATCCACTAAAATGGCTATAATTTTAAAAACTGAAAACAAGCATTGGCGATGATGTGCATAATTAAAGCCCTCATACATTGCTGGTGGGGATGTAAACATGGTGCAGCCACTGTGGAAAACAGTTTGGGGGTTCGTCATACTTGAAACACAGAATTATCATATGACCAGAAATTCTGCTCCTAGGTGCAAAGAAGTAGAAACAGGCCGTCAAGCATCCGAATACTTGTATGCAAATGTTCAGAGCAGCACTATTCACAAAAAACAAAAGGTAGAAATAACCCAAATGTCCATCAACAAATGAATGGAAAAACAAAATTTGGTATATACATACACTGGAATATTACTCAGTCATAAAAAGGCATGAAGTACTGACACATGATACAACATGAGTGAACCATGAAAACTTTATGTTAAATGGAAGAAGTCAGACACAATAGGTCATACACTGTATGATTCCATTTTCATGAAATATCTAGAATAGGCAAGTCCATAGAGGCAGAAAGTAGTTTAGTGACTGCCTGAAGCTGAGAAAATGAGGGAATGGGGAGCAATTGATTAATGGGCATAGATATTTCTTTTGGGGTGATGAAAATGTTTTGGAACTTGATAGAGATGTTGATTGCACAATATTGTGAAGGAACTAAATGACACTGAATTGTGCACTTCAAAATGGTTACTGTTATATAATGTAAATTTCACCTCAATAAAAAGTAAGTCTGGATATCTAAATGGTCAATAAACATATGAAAAGGTAATTAATAATTAGGAAAATGGAAATTAAGGCTACAGTAAGATCAAATATGCACCCATTAGAAATGCTGAAGTTAAGCTCAGTGACAAGATCAAGTGCTGGTGAGGATGTGAAGAAATGGAGGCCCTCATTTCTTGGTAGCTGTGTGGATCTGTACAACCATTTAGAAGACATGCTGGCATTGTCTACTCAGTTGGGGGATATGCACACTCTGATTCAGCACTCCACTCGTAGGTATAGAACCAACAGAAATTCATGCACATGTGCACTGAGAGAAATGTACAAGAATGTTCAGAGCGACACTATTACATTAGCCCAAAATGGAAACAACCCAAATGTTGGAGAAGAATGGATAAGTAACATATGCTATGCTAATGCAATGGACTATTATACAGCAATGGCAATGAACTACAGCCACATACAGCAGCATGAATAAATCTCAAAAACTTATTATTCATTGAAAGAATCAGACATGAAAGAATAGATTCTGCATTTAAAAAGTTCAAAATCGAGTAAAACAGAACTTCAGAATTTTGGGATACACACTTAGATAGTAAAGCTATTTTTAAAAAGCAAGAAAGGGATGACTGTTAATGTCAAGGTAATGGTTACCTCAGAGAGAAAGAAGGGAAAATAAAACCACAGCAAAGGGGTTTAGGAGACCTTCTGGGGATTATCCTATATCTTCATCTGGATTACATGTTTGCTCTGTGATACAAGATTGTACTGTACCTTTAGCATGCACTTTTCTGAATGGATGTTGTATTTCACAATAAAACAGTTTAAACATAAGCAAATAATTTGCAATCATCAACACTTTATTAGCAAGAGCAAATTACTTGTGACACCACCATCCCTACCTGGACAATAGCCCCCTTATCTTCTAAAATATTGGGTATTCCAATGACCCTGAAACTTTACCAGGAAAAGGAAGGATTGGTGTTGTCCTCCAGCTCAACCCTGACCATTGGAGGTACAAGAGGCCATGTGGGTGACACCCACTGACAAGTGTCTCTTTTTTTTTTTTTTTTTTTTTGAGACAGAGTCTCCCTCTGTTGCCAGGCTGGAGTGCAGTGGCGCGATCTTGGCTCACTGCAACCTCCGCCTCCCAGGTTCAAGCTATTCTCCTGCCTCAGCCTCCCAAGTAGCTGGGACTACAGGCGCCCGCCACCATGCCTGGCTAATTTTTTGTATTTTTAGTAGAGACAGGGTTTCACCGTGTTAGCTAGGATGGTCTCAATCTCCTGACCTAATGATCTGCCCGCCCCAGCCTCCCAAAGTGCTGGGATTACAGGTGTGAGCCACCGCGCCCGGCCGACAAGTGTGTCTTTAAACAGGATGGTGTAGAAGGATGGGATTGGCTGCACACAGGACATTCTGCATGGTAGATGAGAAGACTTCAGGAAAAATGGCATTACAGTTGTCTGTGGCCCTTTCTTTCTTCCTGTGAACTATGACCCCTTTGGGGCAGCTCTGTGCCCAAATCCTTTCTGTACCCAGCCAGCATGAGGGCCAGCACAGAATGGGTTTGTTGAACTAAACTATGTGAAATAATCAAACCTCAAACTAGAAAAATATTATTTTGTTTTGTTTCCCAACATTTTAAATTAGGACTACAGAGATGAGTGACTCTTGCCTCTCCACTTCGTAGATGGGAAAACAGGCTCAGAGTGGGAAAAGCAACTCATCTAAGTTCATGGAGGAAGTCAGTGAGTGGAACCCAGGTTTTCCAATACCTGAACTTGTGCTGTTTTAGGGCGTGCAGGATATCAGGAAGTTTACAAAGACCCACTTTTTAACAGATCAACTACCTGCAAAAAACCCATATGCATGTGTTCTACCCCTACCTGAGGAGCCCTGTCCTGGGCCCACAATGGCATTCAGGGATAGTAGGGAGAGTCGATCCAGAGACCTGGAGGTGCAGGCAGAACTCTGGACCCATTTTCTGAGAGAATCAATGCCCTAAGAGGCCAGCAGCTTTTAAGTTGTGAGCTGTGTGCCAGCTCTGTACCAGGCTGGCTAGGAACCCCACCTTGAAGCCCCACCAGATCTGGGGCCTAGATGCTCTGGGAAAATACATTCTTTTATTTAAGAAGCAGCTTTATTGAGGCATAGCTTACATTCCATAAAATTCACCCATTTTAAATGTATAGTTAGATTATTTTAGTAAATTTATAGAGTTGCACAACTACCACCACAATCCAGTTTTAGAACACTCCCCAAAAAGTTTCCTCATGCCCCTTTGCAGTCAATCTCTGCTTCTGTTTTCTGTCTCTGTGGTTCTGCCTTTACAGAAATCTCATATATAGGGACTCTTACAATGTATTGCTTTTTAATGTCTGGCTTCTTTTACTTAGCTTAATGGTATTAAGGTTTATCCATGTTGTTGTAGCATTGATCAATACTTCATTCCTTTTTATTGCTGAGTAGTATTCCATTAAATGGATACACCTCATTTGTTTATCTATTCACCAGCTAATGGTGAATTTAACTTTATTTCCAGTTTTGGTCATTATAAATAATGCTGCTATGAACATACATATGAGTTTTTGGGTGGCCATATGCTTTCCTTTCCCTTAAGTAGATACTTAGGAGTGGAAGTTCTAGATTGTAGGGTAAGTATATATTTAACATTTTAAGAAACTGCCAAATCGTTGGGAACATGTATTTCCGCTCATAACAGCCCACTTACAAACATGCTTTCAGAAGCCACCCCACTTAAGCATACAGCATAGTGGTTACAAGTACAGATTCTGGAGTCAGACCCTCTGGGCTCAAATTGTGCTTATATTACTGAAGGCTACATGCCCTTGGGCAAAAGACTGTGCCTCAGTTTCCTCATCTGTAAAAGGGGATAAGACATGGGGTTGTTGTGATGATTGACTGAGCTCATTCATGGCAGGGCACTTAAAACACTGCTGGTTCATAGTGCTATGAAGTCTTGGCAATTGTTTTTTATAGCCAGTTGGGCAGTGGTCCTATGGAAGGAACAGCACCAGCCCAGAAGTTCACAGACGTGAGAGGGCTATTATGGATCTACCCAGTTACAGTCATGCGGCCTTGAGGAAGTCACATCCCCTCTGTAAGACAGAGCCCAATTTACTTCTCAGCACTGCTGGGTGGTGATTCCAGGGACGTGGTGAAGGTGACATTGTGCTTTGAAGACTGCACAATGCCATGCAATGGACTCATGTTACAATTGTGACATTCAGATTGTGGGGCTCATTGGAGACCATGGAACCCCTAAAGCCTTCTCCATCCGTGAAGCTCTTCTAACTACACACTAGGATGGTTAAGAGCAAGGACTCTGGAGTCAGACTGTCTGGTTCAAATCCCACCCCAGCCACTTAGAAGTCTTGTGACTTTGGACCTCTGTTTCTTCATCTGAAAAACAGAGATAGTAACTGTTCTCAGTCCTCACCTCCTGGAGTGGTTGTAAGGATTGGATGAATGAAATATGAACATGTTCACACCTCCACCTGGATATACAAAGTGTTTTATAAGTATTAGGGATATTAAATTGCATTACAAATGCAGTTTGCAGGAGGATAGTTTACATTTTTAGGAATCGTTTCACATCCCCAAAGGGGCACTGAAAACCCATCAGTTGCAAATGGCCCTCCTTAGACCGTTCTCAGCTCCTGAAGGTTTGCTGGCCCTCCCTTTTTACATTATAAATGGGAATAGGGCTTCCTTTGTGTTAGAAACAACAGCCCTGACACTGAGGGATCCCAGAGACACACACAGGAGGAGAAAGAAACACCAAAGTTCCTATCCCCAGATCCATCTTCCTTTTGGGAAACTGGAAGTTGCAGCAAAGTTCACAAAAGACCATGGAACCCAAAGTTGGCCTCTGCCACTGAGTTGGCAGGGCCCTATATCATATGCAAAATTGCAACTTTCTGACATGAGCCATGGGGCTGAGAAGCTAAAACTATACTCCAGCTGCCCTTTGATCTGCAATAAATGCCAGGCTGGACACTCTGGCAGGAAAAGCTATCATCGGATTTGGGTCTTGTTGCCCAGGAGACAATGGGCTGTCTTGGGCTTCTTCAGGCAAACAAAGAGTTAACCAAGGCCACCTTCTCAATCCCGTTTCCTTTGGGCCGACTAGAGGTTGTTTCCTAGACTTTCTGTTCCCTTATTCAATTGAAGATGTGTACTAATCCCCCAAATTCAAAGGGGAGGGGGTCAGAAGCTATAGAAAGCATGGCTCTTCTGCAAAACTGCATGGAGAAAGAGCTGAGCAAGGGCAAGAGCCTACAGACCTGGATTCAAGTCCTGGCTTTTGGACTGGCCACTTTCTAAGCTTCTCTCAACCTCAATGTTATAAAAATACCTGCATTGCGATGGGATTAATAGAAGCCCAAACCTCAGCACCGTGCAATATACCCTTGTAAAAAACCACACATGACCACTCCCTGAATCTAAAATAAAAATAAAAATACTTGCATTGCTTTCCAACACATAGTTACTGCAAGAATCAAGCAGTAATTTCTATCACTTATTTTGTGCCTAGTATATACTGGAATCATGGGAAGCACATTATTTCTAATTTCTCTAATATTCACAACATTTCTAGGAAGGTAAAATGGTCTAATTAATCGCCTTTTTCAGATGGGGAAACTGAGGCACAGAGCGATGAAATCCATTGCCCAAGATCACTCAGCCAGCCACAGTTCAAACCCAGGCAGTCTGACCTTAACCGAGGCCCATTTTAACTTAGGTCTACTTTAACTTATATCTTACTATTCAGCCAACCGCCTGAGTTCTGCTGGAGAAACTGAGGCCCGGGGAACGGAAGGGATCAGATCTCTGGCTTCCAGGCCACAGCTCTTTCCACCACCGGTGGAGCCACTGCCCATGATAGACGTGACCGCTTAGGTAACTCAGAGCTGGGTTAAGCAACCGAGCAATTCAGTTCCGTTATTTCTTGAGCAGCAAAAGCCCCAGATGTCCCTCCCGGTGTTCATGCTTCGCACCTGTGTGCGGAGAGGCACCAGACCTGCCCTTACCAGAAGCCAGCCAGCACGCACAACCTAAGCTGCTGGCGCTGGGTGCGCTGAGGCTGTTGGCGCTGGCGCTGGCGCTGTTTCTGAAGTCCCTCTCTGCCTAAGATTGGAGGCTCCGCACCCAGCTCAGACATCTCGGGTGCCCAGACAACGCTCCAACCGCCCCAGCTGCCCAGGGATCCCATTCACAGCTATAACCCCTGCACTGCCAGGAGGTAGCCGCCCGCGGGACCGCCAGTGCGCACTGAGTGGCAAGACTCCCTTTTATGTCCAGGAATGAGGCACGCATCGCAGCCGCGTCCGCCGCCAAAACCGACTTCCCCCACGGGCGCGGAGGCAGCCGGTGCCACCCTCCGACCGGGTTGCTTACCTGTCGCACCGCGGGTCTGGGTGACAGCAGGGAGGGGCGTGGAGACCGAGAGCAGCATCAGCAGACACCAGCACTGCCCGTTGTTCCTCCTGCAAGATGTGCCCGAGGGAGAAAAGGTGAGGCGGGCAAGAGTATTGGAGGGGCCCGGGACGCGAGGAAGCAGAGAAGCGGGTCTTACCTTGGTGCCATCTCGCGGGTCTGCGGAGCCCCGGAAGGCGCGCGGCTAGTCGAGCAGAGCGTTGGAGCTTAGCGGAGGACGAAGGGTCGCTGAGCGCTGGCCGCCGCGCTCGCCCTTCCTGCAGGGAACAAAGGCGGCGCTCGGCAGCGGCGGCGGCGGGCAGAATCCCGGCTCCCGGCCCGCGCCCCGAGTCACCCGCGCTCTGAAACCCGACTCCGCCGCGCCCTGCGCTCCCCCGCGCGCTGCGCACTCACGCCCGGGGGATACCGGCCGCCCCGGCCGCCTCCCCACGCCCCTTTCCCCCTCGACGGACGTGCGCTCGCCTCTGCTGCCTCCACCCGCGGCTGCCTTATGTAACCTGCGAGGAAAGCCCCGCGCCCGCGTTCGTTGGGGCAAGCGGGATGGGCTCCCTCCCGCCCTTAAGTCTGTCCTGTCGGGGCTGACCCGCAAGAAAGCACTCTTTCACAGCCGCTGAGGGAATCCTCTCCACAGCCCAGGAAGGCTGGAATCAGTGATTTCCTTATATGATGGACAAGGAGACTGAGGCTCAGAGAGGTGGAGCGTATGTCCCAAAGTCCCAAGCTGCACTGAGCTCCTAGATGCTGTGACCCACCCTGCACGCCTGACACATGGACCGACTTGAATGCCCAGGAGTGGACCTGCCTGGGGGCCATAAGGGATACATACAACTAAATGCAGCAGAGATAATCCTAATAAAAGTTTTTAATGTACTGGATTCCAGGGCTTTCCTCCCTATGTATACCTTGCCTGCCCCCTTCATCAGAATGTAAGCTCCAGGAGGGCTTATCTGTGCTTTGTTCCCTGCCTAAAACAGCTCAGGTAGTAGGAGATGCCAATAAACGCTGGATGAATGAAGGAGCACAGTCTTGGGTGAGGCATCACACCAGGCCCTGTGATGAGATGTGGGGGTCATGAACCAGGCTCTGCCTCCGAAAGCCCTCAGTGGGAGTGAGGCGGTTCAGGGCAGACTAACCCATCTGTGCAGAGCTTATCGCAGGGCACTGGGTAAACCCTCAATGGTCGCTTTTTATTAAGATTACCACCCGGCACATAGTGTGAGATCTTGGAGTGAGAAGAGGCACCGCTGAAGTTGGCTGAGACCTGGACAGCTCTGAAGCCAGGTAAACACTAGAAACCTCTCTTCCTGAAGCACCAAGTAGCCACAGTGGGCCGTGGCTCTGTGGTCAGTTCCTGTGTTTGATTCAGTTCCACTCTAGAGGATGGGTCACCTCTTGCCAAGTGAGTTAGCCTTGCAGAGGAGATGGCATGGGAATGGATATAAGCAACTAATGCTTACTTGGTGTGGATTATGTCCCAAGCCCTCTGCTAAATGCTTTAGCTGTGTTATCTCATTTAATACCCACAACAGCCATGGAAAGGTGATACTGTCATGATCCCCATTTCATAGATAAGAAAGCTGAGGTTCAAAACATTCCAAGGCTAATGAATGGCAGATGCAACACCCATGCTCCTCCCCACTCAGCCATGCTGCCTGCCAGTAAGCAAGAAGATTAGACTCACTCTCCACCCTCAAGAGCAAAATCGCAGTGGAGACACAGAGCACTCGGATATGAAAGGGTTCATGCCAGCCTGGGCGGTGAGGGCTCAGAGGAGGGATGGTTGGCCTGGAGATCAGGAGTCTGGGTTCCAGTCCAATGCTGGCCCTGGCTGCAGGGTGAAGTTGGGCAAATCTTGCCCTTGGTCTGATTTTTTATTTCTCCACCTGGATAATGGACACAACTACCTTGAATTGAATGGTGGCTGTGAGTCCCTTGATGGGACCACCTACTGGTACACCACAGTGCTCTCTGTCCATTGGATTTTGGCTTCTATTATTAGAGGTTGTGGATATTCTCATCGGGGCTGCGGCCTGTGGAGGGGGACAACTGGCAAGACAGAGGGGGGACCCTAGATCAACCTCTTAAGGGATTGAGGCTCCAGTAGCCAAAGCAGCTCGAGAACCAGGTTGGCCTCATGTGGAGCTAACACATAAGGCGAACTGCATCCCGACAAAATTGTCCACTTGAGGCCTCTTTCCTAATCTGTTCACATTCCCTGTGAATGTAAATTCTCTCCCACTTGCAGCCACTCTGTGATGGGCCTAACCTTATTTTATTTTGATTCACTAACCATAGGGAATTTGCTTTCATAATTCTATATTTCTCTATTGTTTGTAAAGTACCACATTAACTAGGAATATAATTGACTTTCTTAGAACTATATTTCTATACTGCTTAGAAAAACCACATCAGTTATGGCTACATAGTAGATCTAGGGTTCTGTTTGACAGTTTTAAAACCAGAGATTGTGAACTGGCAGCCATAGGCTCAATTTTGTTTCATTTTTGATTTTGGTTTTTGTTTTTGTTTGAGATGGAGTGTCGCTCTGTCACCCAGGATGGAGTGCCGCTCTGTCACCCAGGATGGAGTGCAATGGTGGCTCACTGCAACTTCCGCCTCCCGGGTTCAAGTGATTCTCCTCTTCAGCCTTCCAAGTAGCTGGGACTATAGGCGCCCATCACCACACTCGGCTAATTTTTGTATTTTTAGTAGAGACGGGGTTTCACCATGTTGGCCAGGCTGGTCTCAAACTCCTGACCTCAAGTTGATCCACCCATCTCAGCCTTCTAAAGTGCTGGGATTAAAGGCATAAGCCACCATGCCCAGCCTTCAATTTTGCCCATAGATATGTTTTATCTGGTCTGCTGGGTGTCAACCTCCAAATTAAATTGGCTAGCAATATTTGATAATTAGAGAATTGCACAGTAAAATTGAGACTTCTGGATTCTTTTTGAAATTTTGGAAAACCTGGCGACATAAGGCCTGCATTCTCTGTGCCAACAATTGATTGGCATTGAATAGGGGCTGCTGCCTTCAGCTAAGGCAGTACTGTCCAGTTTGCCGTAGTTCCCACCACCCCATATTGTCCCCAAAACCAAAGCTAAGAATCAATTGCCCCTATCACAGTTGCACTCTGCCTTTGCATATAAGAAAAAATGGAATAGGTTGAATGCTCATGTTCCTGTTAAAAATGGGTAAACAGAAGATATATGGGGAGAAGAACATGTTTAAAGAAAGATGGGGAAAAACATATTTCTACTTGTTTAATATACAAATAAAGTGTGTACATTGAAAAAAATAAAAATGAAGGTGCCATTATGAAACAAACCTGGCCTCCTCAGTTACATATATAACATGAAGGGTGAAGACTTGATTGTGATCCAATTTATCAGTCCAAGATACATATGCATAAGGCAACAGATTCCTTTCTACTCTTGCAGGGAAGTCCTATGTGCACATTTCATATTTTGTTGGTTCTCTGTAACTGATGATACCCAATTCACTGGAATCTAAAAATGAAGTTTCCCAAAGCACACTTCTCATCTACAAATGACTGGAAATAGACTCGTGTTAAGGTTGTTGATTTTGCACCTATTTCTCCTGGGAAGCCAGACCATGTTCATATTCAAGAAGGGCTCTCAGTTTGCAGCTTGTCCCTGAACTCAGGCAGATGAAGAACAGGGAGGGTCTCAGGCCTGGGAGCTGAAGTGGGGGCCAAATGGTCCCAGCTGTGGGTGTGGGAGGGATGGGGCAGGAAGCCAAGCAAGACATTTTACCTCCTGCCAGACAGTGTTTTTAGGGCTTAAGTGATTTCCTTCCATTCAATGTTAAGTTGTAGAAATAGCCAAGAGGAAGCTTCGTGTCATACCCAAGCTGATCTAAATTGTTTACCACCGTTCAGTGTAATCTGTGAGATTGGGATGTGTGAAGACTGGGGATCTTATGTCCCAACTCTTACAGAACTGGACTAAATTAATAGGCTGTTCCATTTTCCCATAATCTACCCAATGTCCCTGATAACTCAATATCCAAAAGCATTCTCCATACTGTCTCAAGCAGCTGGAAGGGGCACAAAAATCTGTGGAAATCATCTAAAACTTTGGTTTCTGAAGAAGTTACCAAGAATATAGTGCATGTCATTCTAGACCTCAGTTTATTCACTACATGGGTACAATGCCTCCCTTGTGGAGTTGTGATGAGAACGTCTACAGGAGGTAGTTAGAGCTTGCATATCATCTGATTTAATGTGCAGAAAAAGTGCAATAGATTTAACTAGCTAACTAGAATAGAATTTACTAGAATAACTAAAGAGATAGCTGCCTTTGGGATAACCAAGAGAAAATAATGACTGTTTAAGCCCACAACTACCTTCCAAGGAGGACTCATTTGTTCTGCTGAGCATCTTGATGTGTTTGGATATGCAAAGAGGGGCCACAGGCTGAGACAAGAGTCATTGGTTCAACATAAGAGAAAATGATGGATTTGAAAATCTGACAATCCAAGAGGAAAAGAAAAAGGAGGGAGAATGTATCAGACACCTTTTATGTGCCACTGCAACATCCTGTCCAGATCCCCTCCATCTTGATCATTTATGTGCAGGGTGGCTGTCTTCCAACTGCCAGCACCTGCATCCCTTCACCTGAGCGCTTTCTCTGGCCCCTGGAGCCTGCTCTGCCCACAAGCACAGAAGACCAGAAGTGTTGGGAAATTAATGGAGCAACCCCTTCCCCAAGCAGCTCTCAATCAGTGATGGTCAGGAGCTGGTGGATGAGAATCTCAGCCCCCTTACCCAGCTGGTGGGAACACCTAGGCAGGCACACATTCTATACTTCTATCCAGAGTTTCCACAGGACTGAGCTCCGGTTTCCCACAGGGGTATTGTGCACTCACTCTTTATTGGCCACCTCATTTCCCCACTCCCCTTCCAGTGCTTCTTAAGAAAACTGACCAAGTGAACTGCTGGCAGTGGAATCCTTGCCTCTGAGTCTTTTGCTGCGGGAATCCAAATTAAGATAGCTGCTTGAAATTCTTTTAGTCTCACCCGTCTCCAGGGTCTCTGGCCACTTGTTCTAACAGCAGTCCCCTTTGTGGAGACCAACTCTACCTGGACTCTCACCAACTTCAGGCAGATACAACTCACAGCCCCTGGCCTCATGTCCACATTGATCACCTTTCACTTCCACCCCAGGGCTTCCCTGTTGATGCTAAGGCATGACATCCTCAGCACTATCCTTAGTGCCTGCAATGAGCAACCTGGAAGTACAGTGCAAATAACACCCTGTGGGGCAAAATTTCAGCCAATGGAAGCCAGTAGATGTATTTTTCTCCCTTCCTCTTCCAGATGCACTGTGCCAAGAAAGTAATTTATAAGGCATCTCAGAAGATGGTCACACAATGCTTGCAGAGCAGTCCGTCATGTCTATTGCCTCTTATTGGGCTCTTCCTCCTACCTCGCCTCCCTTTCCTTTTCACTTCTGCTCTCTAAGATCACACTCCCTAATGCCATAGAGGCACACAAGACTTAGCCTCAGATGCTACTATCTGAATAACCCAGGATGAGACAGGTGATGGAGCTTATCTCTCAGCTTCTGACCTATTCATGCATCTTAACAGAGTATCTAAGGCAATTGTCCCTTCCTGCTCACTATCTTCAGTCAGCATGATGTCACCAGTATAAGGGACCAGCAGGATAGTCCATGGCATGTTGGAATGACAAGGTCCTTATGGACTATATTATAACAAAGAGCTGTTATGATACTCCTGGGGCAAAACAGTGAATATATACTACTGTATCTGCCATGTAAAAGTGAACTGGTTTTTATCTTCCTTGTGATTCCACTTTGCCAGGTCACTCTGCATCCCACACACCAAAGGCTATGTTGGTATATTCCAGTAAAGATACCGTATTTGGCATGGCAGCTGCAATGGATGCTACCATCTGGCCAAGTTTATGGAAATCCACTATCATCTGATTTTTGGAAATCCACTATCATCTGATAATAGATTTGGCTTTCGCAGGGGCCTATACAAGCTAATTAATTGAAATGTAATGGGATCTACCATACCCTGCATCATTTAAGTCATGATAGGGGTTCTAACCCCTGCAATACTTTCTGAGAGGTGATTTTGCTTCTGATCTACTGCCTTGAAGTGGAGGAAAGGGTGTAGTTTCAAGGACTTCCACTTGACTTTTCCTACCAGACTCTACAAGTCAAGTTGCTAATGTAAGGGTTCTGCCAGAAGCTAAGACTATCTATGCCAATTATATATTTGAGATCAGGCCTAAAAAGGTCTAGACAGCACGAGTAAATTATGTGAACAGGTAGCCCAGACTCCCAGGTCACTTACTGCTTTGCACCAACACCCCTTCTTGAGTTCACACTTAGGGCTTCATGGGTGGTTTCCTACAACCAGTAATCAGTTAAGGAAAGAACCCAGGTTGCTTCACACATGAGCCTGTGTGATATGTCAGTGCTAGTTGAAATGAGCTGTTGCTGCATTGCAGCCTTCTCAAGGGTGGCCGCAAAGGATAACGGTGAAGAGAACTCCTCCCAGGGGGTAGAACTATGAGTGGGGCACTTGGTCAAACTCTTTGAAAGAGAGAGAAGTAGTATAGTATTATGATGTATGTAGATGCCTGAGCAGTGGGCAAATGACTTCGATGTTGGCCAGAGGCCTGAAAGACAAGATTGGATGATCTGGGACCAGGAGATCTAGGGAAGCATAATGTAGATTGACCTACAGAAATGAGCACACGTGTTGGTCTTTGTATCTCAATGCTCACGAGAAACCATCCACCACAGAGGAGATAATTCAACAGCCAGGTGACAGGGTGACTGATCCTGTGGATGTCAGCCAGTCTCTCTCCTTGACTATCAAGGAGCTGACACGGAGAAGCCTTAAACAGTGACAATGATGGCAGGGGTAAATGCTAAGCACAGGCCCAGAAGCATGGGCCCCATCCCTCTAAAGCAGATATAGCTGCTGACATTGATGAATGCCCAGCCTGCCAGCTGAAAAGACTGACACGGAGCCCTCAATATGGCACCAGTCCTCCGAGAGGCCAGCCAACCCTTTGGTGATAAGTTGATCCCCTCAGACCCTGTCCTGAGTATGTTTTCCTCTTCAGCATCAGTACCCAAATGGAAATGGGTTTGCCCTCCCTGACCAAGTTCCTTTGCCAGCACTGCCATCCAAAGACTTGCAGAATGTTGGATTTATCGGCATGTTGTCTGCACAACATTGCTTCAAATGAAGGGACTCATTTTATGGTAAAAGCAGTGTGACAATGAGTGAATGATCAAGGACTCCATTGACTTGATCATGTAGCACATACCCCAGAAACATCTAGATTAATACAATGGTGGGAAGGCCTGTTAAAGGCTCAGCTAAGGCACCAGCTTAGGGACCACCTGGTGCTGAGCTGTAGGACTCTCCTCCAGAATGTGGTTGGGAAAGTCACTGAATTAATGGCCAATACATGTTGCTGTGTCTCCAAAAACTAGAATACTTGGGTCTGGAAACCAAGGAGTAGTGGTGGAATTCAGTCCTTTTCCTCTCCCAGTGATCCACTGAAACTAAGCTCTGGTGGGGTAGAGGTGCTAGTGTTCAGCAGAACTCCTCCAAAAGATACAATAAGGCCACTAACTTGAAGTTGTGACCACTATCTGGTCACCTTGAGCTCCTCATGCCAGTGGGCAAGCAGGCAAAAAAAGAGTGACTGCATAAGTGGGGCTATTGAGCCCTGATGGCCACCGGGAGCCACAGTAGCAGCTACTTTATGGGGCAGAGAAGATATATTTACAATCCAGGGAATGTCCTGGTGTATTTCTTGGTACATGCATATCCTGTAATGATAGCAAATGGGCACATGAAGCAATCAAGGCAGCTGAGAGGTCAGACCCTTAAAGGATAAAGGTCTAGGTCACCTCACTAGGCTAGCAAGCCAGATCATCCAAAGTATGGACTGAGAATAAAGGAAATCAGACTGGGTGGGGGAGGAGGGATATGGCACTAGCTACAGCTGAGGGGACTTTGGCTTGTTTCACTCTCCTGGCTAAAATCTTCTCAGAGATCTAAGTTGGTTATGATCTTGAAAGGGATTCTGTGACTGACTGGACTCGTACCCCTCTTCTTAGAAAATAAGTGATAGGAGGCCAAGATGGGATCACTTGAGCCCAGGAGTTCAAAACCAGCCTGGGCAACATGGCAAGACCCTGCCCCCAACTCCTCCCCACCACACACACACAAAGAAAATAAGTGAGAACATCATATTCTTTCAAAATTGAAGGTCCTATATGATAGCATAGGAGCTAGATCTATTGGGAAGGCAAACCTAAGCAGTGCAGGGAGTAAACTACGCCACACATCTCTAATGCACCATTTCAAATTCTCTGAATTTCCTGCCTCCAAGTGGTCATTCATTCCAGCCACAGCCATTGCTGCAGAGATCAACTCACCAGGGACTCCAATCAATTACGGGTAAAACTGGCAGTGCCTTCATTTTTGCACAAAGTGTATAACTCTCACCTCATACTTAGGGACTTCTATATTAATCCTGAGACATGAGATGCTGTAGGGTTCATTTAGTGCCCACACATAAGCAACTTGGAAATGCGAAGGAAATAATATGTGGCCAGCTTCTGAACAATGAGAGATGGAAACCAGTGGATGACTATTTCTCCCTCCCTATCACACATCAGCCACCCTGAGCAGCAGCTTCTCAAAAAAACGTCCCACAAGACTGAGGACTCATCTATATATAAGACCTGTTATTTGCTCTTACTTCTTCCCTGCTTCTTTTCCCCCTCCCTCTTTCCTGGAACTGAACTTCATAAATTGGCACAGAAGTCTTTGCCTCAGGCTCTGCATTTTGGGAAACCCAGCTAAAGGCAGAGTGGCAAGAGCTGATAAGCACCATCAAGATAGTGTGAGGCCAGAAGTTCTGTGTGATGAAGCAGCCAGTGAAATATTTCCAGCATGGGGGTGCCCCCAGAACATTTGCAAAATCCTAAGTCTAATGCTTGGTTTGCAGCTGTTTGCATTCCAGCAAATGGAAAGCCCTCCTGCAATGACCCTTCCCCCAGCAACCACAACAGCCTTCACTCAAGTTTGCCCGACACACGAATGCTTTATAAAAATGGACTTTTGTGGATATCAACTGAGACATTAATACAACGTCTTGGTCAATAGAACAGAACAAAGTTTGCACACATGGGATGCTGTGATGAGTTATAACCAGAACTTAGAAACAAGAGCTCAGCATCAGAGGTGAACATAAGAAGATAAGCTTTCTGGGAATGTGCTTAAATATTGAAAATGGCTGTGGGCTTCCAAAAACCACAGAATAGGGGGAGATAGAGGCCATTCCCAAGGGACAAAGAAGTCCCCATCCAACATCTGACAAATGAGCAATATAAAGTATCCAAAATCAGACAACAGGGGTTTAAATCCAGAGACTGTTCTTTACCAGCTGGAGCTGTACCCCTCTTCTTAGAAAATAAGTGATGGGGCCGGGTGCGGTGGCTCACGCCTATAATCTCAGCACTTTGGGAGGACGAGGCGGGCAGATCA
This sequence comes from Homo sapiens, assembly GCF_000001405.40. Lineage (NCBI taxonomy): Eukaryota > Metazoa > Chordata > Mammalia > Primates > Hominidae > Homo > Homo sapiens. The sequence continues at coordinate 98,934,638 of NC_000009.12, read as the reverse complement.
CGAGGTCAGGAGATCAAGACCATCCTGGCTAACACGGTGAAACCCCGTCTCTACTAAAAATACAAAAAAATTAGCCTGGAGTGGTGGCGGGCGCCTGTAGTCCCAGCTACTCGGGAGGCTGAGGCAGGAGAATGACGTGAATCCAGGAGGCGGAGCTTGCAGTGAGCCTAGATCGCACCACTGCACTCCCTCCTGGGCGATAGAGCAAGACTCCATCTCAAAAAAAAAAAAAAAAAGAAAGAAAAAGAAAAAAAGAAAATAAGTGATGGGAGGCCGAGATGGGAGGATCACTTGAGCCCAGGAGTTCAGAACCAGCCTGGGCAACACAGCAAATGGCTCAGTCTCTGTGCCTCAAGTTTCATGAATTAAAAAATAGTAATAACGATAGAAAATTGTTGAATGTGTGAAATTAAATGACTCTGGCATTTAACATGTCACTAAACATTTTTTAATTTTATTATTATTTAATAATAAATTTATTATTTTATTATTATTTAATAATAATTTTATTATTTTATTATTATTTTAAATAATAGAGGCCATTTATTTTTAATAAGAGGCCAATTATTTTTAATTAATAATAAAATAATAAATTTATTAAATAATAATAAATTAAATAATAATAAATAATAATGTTTATTAGCATTAAATAATACAAATATCTGTCTAATACAAATAAAAGGCCCAGATATACAGTCATAGAATATCAGATCTAGGCCAGGCACGTTGGCTTACACCTGTAATCCCAGCACTTTGGGAGGTCAAGGTGGGCAGATCACTTGAGGTCAGGAGTTCGACCAGCCTGGCCAACATGGTGAAACCCCATCTCTATTACAAAATACAAAAATTAGCCAGGCATGGTGGTGTGTGCCTGTAATCCCAGCTACTCAGGAGGCTGAGGCATGAGAATCGCTTGAATCTGGGAGGCGGAGGTTGAAAAAAAAAAAAAAAGAATATAAGAATATCAGATCTAAAAGCGTGCTCAGAGATCTTCAAGCCTAGCTTCCACTCATGCCCAGAGAGAAGAAGGGGATTGCCCAGGGCCACTGTCAATCCAGGGCAAAGCCAGAGCCAAATGTCCTGACTCCTATCCAATGCTCTTTTCTATGCCTTTTGGGCCTCCTGCTCAGTTTCCCCAGGCATTCGGGGTCAAGACCACTACAAATAAGAAGGACAACTGGAAATGCATATCCATGTTTATCATGTGTCTTCAAGTCTCTGCATGCTCTGCTAAGCACTGCCCTAGAGGGTGTCACTCCACCAAACAACATTGGTCAGCCACGGTTCAGACTGGTGTTTTTTACCTGTGGCCCGCCTGCATCAGAATCATTTTGTGGAAAGCATGTTAAAAGTACAGATTTCTAGTCTCTACACAAAACCTATCAAATCAGAATGTCTATAGGTGCGGGCTCGAGAATTGCAATTTTAAGAAGCTCCCTGGTCTTTCTTATGCACGCTACAGCTTCACTGCCATTGACCTAAAGTTTCACACTTCTATTTCTCATGGCACCTGGTTCCTGAATTCTATCTTGGAATTTCTTGCATTAGGTAGAAATAGTATTCCAGCGTGGGGGTAGCCCCAGAACGTTTGAGACATCATAAGTCTAATGCTCTGTTTGGAGTTTTGTTTTGTTTTGTTTTGAGGAGTTTTGCTCTTGTTGCCCAGGCTAGAGTGCAATGGCACGATCTTGGCTCACTGCAACCTCCGCCTCCCGGGTTCAAGCAATTCTCCTGCCTCAGCCTCCCAAGTAGCTGGGATTACAGGCATGCACCACCACGCCTGGCTAATTTTGTATTTTTAGTAGAGACGGGATTTCTCCAGGTTGGTCAGTCTGGTCTGGAACTCCCGACCTCAGGTGATCCGCCCGCCTCAGCCTCACAAAGTGCTGGGATTACAGGCGTGAGCCACCGCGCCCAGCCTGTTTGGAGTATTTAATACTGTCTCCTACGATGATGCATTTGAACTTTTTAGCTCAGACAAACTGCCAAGACCTCTCTTAGATGGATTTTCCCATTTGCCACACCCTTGGAAAAGCAAGAAAAAAATGTATTCTGTTGAGTTAAGGCCTTTAGGATCCAAGATTTCGGAAAGAAAGCAGCCAAGAGCTAGAAGGGACCTTGTACCTGATCCCAAGCCCAATCCAACCAGAGGCTCTGCTGTACAAATTTATTTAATTTAAAGAAATAAGACAACTAAGGAATCTTCTAGGTACCATTTGACCACACAAGGAGGCCTGTCAAAGAGTTTGTGGGCAAAACGCCACACGTTTGGGCTGCTTGCCTTCCATTCTACCCCAGCTCCCTCATCAGTGCACCAGACAATGACTGCCGCTTCCACAGTATCTGTAAAGAAGGATGGGGCAAATGTAAAAAGCACTACATTTAACTGCTATTTTTGTCTCAAGGAGGATGAGGGTTGATAAATGTGTCCTTGAGATAAGCCAGAGACGGCAGGACATAAAATCTGTCCAAAGAGATAGTTTTTTTGGCTTTTTTTTTTTTCTTTCTGAGACAAGGTCTTACTCTGTCACCCAGGTTGGAGTGCAGTGGGGTGATCACAGCTCACTAAAGCCTCAACGGCTGGGGCTTAAGCAATCCTCCCACCTCAGCCTCCCAAGTAGCTGGGACTACAGGAACACACCACCATGCCCAGCTAATTTTTAGATTTTCTTGTAGAGATGGAGCCTCCTTATGTTGCCCAGGTTGATCTCAAACTCCTGGGCTCAAGCCATCCACCTATCTTGACCTCCCAAAGTGCTGGGATAACAGACATGAGCCACCGCACCCGGCCCTGATAGGAGTTTCATCACAGATTAAGTCTTCATGTTCCCAAATGGCAGGGCCACACCTTACTCTTGAGAGTGGCCAGTGGTACAGCTGACAAAAAATACAGACTTTCTCTGTTCCCCTTTATCTGCCTCACTGCCTCCTGCCCATCAACTGTTAGAAACAGCTCTGCTGGACATGACTGTGAAGTGTGGTCACTCGGAGCTGCCACAGGTTGTGGCTTCCTCTTCCCTCAAGCCTAGAGACTCAAGAGTTTGCCACAGGTCAGTAGCATTCCTAGGGGGCACTTGGAAATATAAGGGTATGGGGAGTTTCTTTTGTCACAATGAATGCAGATGTTAGTGGCATTTGGCAGGCCAAGGATGCTAAATTCTGCAATGTAAGAGGCAGGCTACCTAACAGAGAACTAGCCCAGCAAAAATACCAACTGTGCTCCACTGAGAAATGCTACCAGATTGTGGCTCTTAATCTTTCTTAACTGAGACCCTTGGTCTCACAATCTCAAAAACACACTTCTGAAACAAAGGTTTCATGTAGCAATATTTGCCCATACTACATGTAACGCATTCAGATATTTTCTACTCTGTTGTGCTCCGTTATATTTTTTTTAAAAAGGCTGATCAAAACCCGTTCAATAGATTTCATGATGCACAAATAGGCCACAACCCATACTAGGGTGTGATGATTTCAAAACTCTTCATCAGCCCGAGAGGGTGGAAATATATGGAATGAAACTCACCATAGGAATCGTTTGTCTGCTCTCACACACACTACCTGACCTAAAAAAATCTCAGGGCTAAAGTGAAAGCCCCAGTGACTTCTAACGAGCTAAATCTGACTTGCTCTGTCTCCCACAACCAGATGGCCAAAGAGAGACAAACAATCGTGCATTGCTGAGGGCCGTGGTTCTTTCAGGGCTCTGCTCTCTGAAGCGGGTGGCCCATGTGTTTTGTGTTTCCCCGAATGGGTGGATCCGACCCATTCAAAGGCTCTTGCATCACAGTGGACGATGAAGCTAGCCACAATGGGAGTGGGGGCTGAGGACCCTCAATTAAGCCAAAAGGTCTTAAGTGAGTATTTCTCAGCAACATCGAGCCATAGCACCTTACGCCAGATGGGCAGCCCGGTTCTCCAAACCCATTGCAAAGTTCCCTACCACACAGGCAAGCTATGCGGGTCCTAAAGAGACAGAAACCGCACAGGAATAGATGCTGCCCAGGAGGCTGAGGGCTGGGCCAGGTTCAAGGGGTGGAGCCTGTGGCAGTGGTTGGTGGAAGAACCAGCCGCTCTTTGACCATGTCAAAGTCTTCATCACAAATTAAATTAATCTGATCCCTTTTTCCAACTGCTTCCTCCTAATAGTTTTACCATGCTCTTAACAACCACCATATCAACATGTTATTGTTAAAGGATTTAAAGACACCATGTTCGGAAAACGTGGTCCACCCCACACCCTTCCATGGTTATTCCTCCCTAGCTTGGCTTATGCTTTTTCTGCTTCTCGGATTTTGTGGCTCAGTGTTCCCACATGTAGAGCCCTCATGTAAGGTGCCGCACATTCCCTCTGCCAGCAGCCTGGTGTCACCAAGAAGCCAGACCCCACCCCGTTTCAAACCCTACCCCCATCACTCCAGGCCCTGAGGAACCCAGCCCTACCAGGGCTCCCGTTTTTAATGACTCATGAGATTTCGTAGGTTTCCCATCCAAAATGCTGACAAAATACAACCTTGGTGCGCACTGGCCTCTGTTCTTACAATCTAAACAAGATGCCGCTGACCCACATCTGTCTGGACCTTTACAGTTCCCTCACTACTTACGTCACATGATTATCAAAACAGCCCCGGGGGTGTGGAAACAGACTCAGGGGTTAAGCAGCAAACGTTCACAAGGTCAGCTGGTTGATAAAGGGCAGAGCTGGAGCTGGAACTTGGTTCTTCTGGCCTCACATCCCATCTCGCCTACACTTCAGGAAAGCACGCAGACTTTATTCACTTCAGCCACCTAAACTTGCTATCTGGGTGATCCAGGGAAAGCCACCTGAAGGTTTTTCACATTCGCATGAGCCCATGCGGGAGTACTGGGGGACTTCTCTGAGAGATGAAAGTTTCTAGCCGCAAGGTGAGACCAGAGAAATCCCAACACATCTTTGCTTATGTGGATGCCTGGCTGTTTGCTTGGGATCAGCTTCTCAGACCCCCATTTCCAGTAGTTGCCTGTGGTCCATGAATAAAGACGAAAATCAGAGCTGGCTTTGTGGATTCTTTCTAGAAAAGCTCAGAAGTGTAGAACATCCTAGAAAAGACTCTTCTCAAAAACAAAGTGAAAAATAACTTTTTATATTTGTTTAATTTAAAAGGGCAAGCTTTAATTACTTAGAAAAGTATCAGAACAGCTCTACGACAAAATTTTAATGTACATGTGTTACAAGGGAGTTTTTGAAGCCAAATTTCCTCTTTTATGTTTGTGGACCTCATGAAATGGAACACCTACCTTCTTCAAAAGATACTATGAAGCCATAAAAATGTTAATGTGCTTTGACTCAGTAATCCCCTTCTGGGAAGCTAGCCTAAGAAAATACCCTGAAATATGGAAAAAGCCATATGCAGAAAAATATTCATCAAAGAGCTGCTTAGTGAAAACCTGGAATCATCCCAAATATGCAAAAAGGGGAAGGAGGGTAGTTAAGTAAATTATGGTATAAACCTTGAAAAAATATTCTATAGCCCTTAAAAATGACGGGTATAAACTTTATGGGATTATAGAAAATGCTTCTGATAAAATATTAGGTGAAATAGTCTGAAAAAATATTTAAACACACGTGAGTTGTAAAAACAGCAAGGGCACATAAAAATATGGTTGTCACTGTCAAAGTGGTAGGCTTATGGCTTTTTACCTTGTTTTCAAATTTCTCTCATGTTATTAGATCTCTACTTTTAAAAAATTCAAATCTTTCAGAAATATAACAATAGATGCTGTGAATGCTTTAAGCAGGAAGAAACATCATTAGTAGAGGTGAGGGTAAGATGAGAATTATTTAGTGTTTTTAGAATGCTTTCATGTTTTATGAAATAAATACAAAATATATGCAAAAAGCAAACATAAAACTATAGTTGTGTTCAAGGCACAAAATCTAAAATGATATTACTGCAGAAATCATTCAGGGTTGAAGGATGTTCTTGTTTCTGTGTTTCCTGGTTGCTATGGATGCAGAAGGGTCTTCTTGTCACGAAGAATTGAAAGGATGCTTAGTATGTCTTTCTATTTGTATTTCATTTGTAGCACTAAATATGCCATGATCAGTTAGATATGGGTTTTGGCTTCAGAAGATAAATCTCATTTCTCACTCCACCATCCAAGAGATGCAATCATGGAAGAATTGGAAGGCACCTCCCAGGACATTCAGATAGAAATCTCCTTGTTAAGAGCATAAGTTCCACCAGCGACATAGGTAGGAGTTAGATGTGCAGGGTCCCAGACATGCTTTGGAGTCAAAGTCCTACCCCAGAACAAAACAAGGCCAATTTACAAAGGCAATTAATTTAAAAAGAAAAAAATCACAAATGCAAATCCAAATACCTGCGAAAATATACACTGGAAATGTAAATCAAAGAAACGTAGTTCTTATTCAAAAACAAAAAAGTTCTTTTTTTTTTTAAAAAGGGAGCTAGGGGAAGGACATAAAGGCACCTGTTCCAGTTACCTATTACTACATAAAGTATCCTAAAATTTGACAGCTTAAAACAACCACCATTTAATTGTATTTTATGATTTTCAGGGTCAGGAATTGAGGCGGGGCTTGGCTCACTCTGTGATACTCAGCTGGCCAATGAGTTGAGAGAATCCAAGGATTCACTCTCATGGCTGCTGCCTGGGGAGGCTGGCAGGCTGGGCTTGGCTGGGATATGGACCCCAGCTCCTATTCAGGGCCTCTCTAGTACGCAGTCTCCTCACAGTGGCCGGATCTCTCACGTGGTAGCCGGCATGCCCTAGAGCAAGCATTCTGAGAGACCTGGGCAGAAACTGCAAGGTTTCTTACAAACTAGCTCAGAGGTCTCAGAGCATTACTTCTGCCACATACTGTTTGTCAAGCAAGGCACTAAGGCCAGCCCGGGTTCAAGGGAAGGGGAATTAAACTCCACCTCTCAATGGGAGAGGTAACAAAGAATCTGTGGTCATCTTGGATCCTCCATGCATCATTTTACATTTGTTAAATTGGAAACAAAAATTGCAGGGAGGGAGCAGTGTGGACACATGACCCAACACAGACAAAGTCACGGATATAGAGTTCATACATAAATAATTATACCAGAGACATGAAAGATTTAGTGTTATCTGTCATAGTGATAAAACTAGACAAAACCTTTACAAGTTCAACAATAGAAGAATGATTAAGGCTTAACATAACTCTAGTAGGTAACTATTAAGAATGTTAATGATGAAAGTTCTATATAAAAACTAGAAAATATTTACAGAGTAGTGTTAATCAAATTAACAGGAAAAACCCTGAAAGATTATATGCATGTAAACAGTGATCAGAAGGGAGTAAGACCTGTAATACTAGCACTTTGGGAGCCTGAGGTGGGAGTTCAAGACCAGCCTGGGCAACATAGCAAGACCCCATCTCCACAAAAAATTTTAAAAATTAGCCAGTTTAGGTGGTGTCTACCTGTAGTCCCAGCTACTCAGGAGGCTGAGGTGGGAGGATCGCTTGAGCCCGGGAGTTTGAGGCTGCAGTGAGCCATGATGGTACCACTGAACTCCAGCCTGGGTGACAGGGCAAGAGCCTGTCTCTAAAAAATAAAAAAAGAAGGGAATGGGAAGGAATAAAAATAGTTTTATTAAGATAACAGCATTCCCAGCACTTTGGGAGGCCGAGGTGGGTGGATCACGAGGTCAGGAGATAGAGACCATCCTGGCTAACACAGTGAAACCCCGTCTCTACTAAAAATACAACAAAAAAATTAGCTGGGCGTGGTGGCGGGTGCCTGTAGTCCCAGCTACTTGGGAGGCTGAGGCAGGAGAATGGCGTGAACCCGGGAGGCAGAGCTTGCAGTAAGCCGAGATCGCGCCACTGGACTCCAGCCTGGGAGACTCCATCTCAAAAAAAAAAAAAAAAAAAAGATAATGGCATTACGTCATTATGTTTTCTTTAAAACACAAGGAACAGAGAAACATATTAAACAATACCACAAGGGTTACTAACAGCAAAATCCAGATTGTGAGACACTAACTCTACCAGCCAAATGATTAGTTTCTCTTTTTTCTTTTTTTGTATTTTTTAATTGATTTATCATAGTTGTGCATATTTTGGGGTCACATATGATATTCTGATCTATGTATATAATGTGTAATGGTCAAATTTGGGTAATTGGGATACTCCTCACCTCAAACATAAATTACAAAGGAAAAGGCAAAGAAGAGGGCAATCTAGAGGTCAAAAGAAACTTAAGAGACATATTATCAGTTGGAATACACAGACATTATTTCAATCCTGAGCCAAACAAGTGAATTCTAATGACAACATTTAAGAAACATTGGGAGACATTTGAACTCGGGGCTTTTGTTGCTATTAAGGAATTATTGTTTATTTTGTTAAAGATGGTAATGGTATTGTGGTTATTTCTCCAAGTTCTCATCTTTAAGATTGATGCAGAAATGTTTGTGGTTCAAATGGTAGATCTAGGACTGCTTCAAACAACAAGGAGGGCAGGAGCATGTGGGGCCAGATGGAATGAGAGGAGAGGTGGCTGCCAAAGCTGGGGGTATTGGGGGATGGTGCTGTTACACTGTTCCCTTCCATATTTCTTTGAAAGTTTCTGTAAGTAAAAGGTGGTTTTGTTTGCTTTTCAAAGTCCTTTCAGGTTGTTTAATGAAGGGACAAGCCAGGCGGTGCTGTGGAGCGATGATGCCAATGGTGGCGTTGAAGGATGGATAAGGAGCCTGGAAACAAGGAAGGCCTGAGTGGCAGGGTCTTAGAGACCTAAAGAGGCTCTTACAGACTGGAACCCTGGTCCTGGCCCTGAATGGGCTACCTCAAGCCCATGTGCCTCTCAGAGCTTCAGTGTCCACAGCCATTAACCCAGGAGAAAGACCTTCCCCTTCCACAGTGATGTGAGGCTCCTCTGAGAAGCACCCAGGAAGCTGCTTGACACCCGCTGTAAGCAGGGTGGCTATTGGGCACTGCACATACATTAGGAGCAACAATGAGGCACAAGCTCCACGCTGAACTGCGCATGGCCCACCCACTCTCGGCCAGGCCTGGCCGGGTCTGTGAGTGGACACATAGTGACTCTGGCTGCCAGTGACCAAGGGGCTGTGGAGGGAATGCTCGATGCCAGGGAGCTGGGGAGGAGCACAGCAGAGCCCTTGTGATGCCCCACCCAACAGCACAGTGACAAGAGAGTCATCCTGCCCTTGACCTTTAGCTAAAGAAACAAGGGGCCTCAGAACTGGAGAAAATCAGGAACTGTTTACAAGGCCAGACGCACGGTCCAGGGTAGGGCAGACAGACAGGAGATTGCCTCGAGGACCACGGGAAAGCACAGAGAGAGGTCGGGCCTCCAGGGAACTGCAGCCTCTGTTCTCAGCACTCTGAGATGAGGGAAGGAATCTAAAGGTATGGCAGTAAGACCACAGCCTACTGCTGCCACTGCTCCTGTTGTCGTGTGCCAGAGGCCGAACACGCCGCATACTGAAAAGATGACAGCAGTTAGAGTGACCAACCATCCTGGTTTGCCCAGGACTAAGGAATTTCCTGACACACAGGACTTCAATGCTCCAATTGGCAAACCAGGAGGGGTGGGTCACCCTAACTGCTGTTGTTACTAGAGCAGCACAATTCTCATAGAACCTGAGGGCTCAAAAAAATTCTCTAGGTCAAATGCTTTGCTTTGCACATAAGATAACTGTGATCCAAAGAGGTCATGACCTGCAAAATCACTCAGTTTGTGGCAAGGCTGGGACAGAAAGCCAGGGGCCCATTTTCTGGTCCGGGATTATTGATTTCTGCTGGATGGTGCTGCCTCCTGGCACCCTCTCCTGATGCTCTCTACCTGTGAAGTAGGGCTTAAGAAACAATAGCGGATCCTCCCTCCCCCTCCTTTCCCAATAGTAGGTTATGGCAGAAACAGCAGGACCAGCAAGCACAGAATTGCAGAGGCACAGTGCATTGGTGTCCAGTGGTCCCCAAAGTTAAAGGGGTTCCTTAGGCTTCCTTTCCAGGCAAGCTGGCCTTGACCTCCAGGTAAGCTCGGAGGTCCCCTTTCCCCCAGAGGGCAATTCATCATCAGGAAAAAAGACAGACACGGGAAGTGCAAGCATAAGAACTGTTCAGGGCCACCCCACCCCGCTGGCCAAAGCTCATTTCTTCACCGTGACTGCTTGAGAGAGCCGTGCTGCAGAACCTGGGGAGACACTGGGGCTTGAGACAGGGATGGGGGTGAAAGGGGGCTGGATGAGGGCTCCTGGATGCCCGAAAGAGGAGTGAGCTGCTTTGAGAAGGAAGGGGTTCCCTGTGGCTAACAGGGACTCTTCCATCTTTCCCAAGGAGGAGGGGAGACAAACCTGGCTTTAAATCCCAGCTGTGCCATCTGACAGCTGAGTGTCCTTGGGTAAGTCACTTCACCTCTCTGAACATCAGTCGTGTCTTCTACCAAGTGAAGACAGTAATATCTTTCTCCTAGGGTTATTAGGTGGATGAAACTAGGCTGGCACTGGGAAGATCTTTAAGAAATAGGAATTCCCTTCCCGTTCAAATCAGAGCCCAGGCAGCTGCTGCCTCCACATTCTAAGTTAGGCTTTAACTCCAGGAGGAGATATTCAGGGTGTGAAGCATCATTATCAGCTGTAGCTCCTGGAGAAAGAGCAAGAAGAAAGCAGTGGGGATTCTCCAGGAATTCACTGTCTAAAGCAAAGCTTCTTAGCCCTGGCTGCAATGGTGTCACAGTGGAGGGTAGGGTACTTCAAAAGCAGGCATGCCTGGTCCTAACCCCCGGAGATTCTGCTGTGATTGGTCTGGGGTGTAACTGGGGCAAAGAGATGATTAGGAGCTTCCCAAGTGAGTCCAAGGTATAGCCAGGGCTGGGATTTCCTGCCACGGGGCTTTGTGATACTCCCAATAAAGATCTAGTGAAGGAATAAAATCAGCTTTTCTCTTATTGCACTTTAGGGCAATGTGCAGCCTGATAGGGGTTCTTAGAGACCAAAAATGTGGAGGATTAAAGAAAAATTTAGCCCGTCAGACACTAGGGTCAACTCTGGAAATGTCACATGTTTAAAACTTGGGGATTTCAGCAAGCCCAGTTTAAGTCTGCCTTTCCTTATCACATGTTAAATAGCTCTGTGTTGGTTTTATCCCCGCTGTCTGTTATTTTGCAATGGCCTTTCTTCAAAGGCTTTAAAAATCTGGTGTACCGGGTCCCTCTGATACAGATGTCTCAGAATAAATCAGAAAACATTTGAAATATATTTAAGAAGAAAATGCCCATTTTGTACTACAAGGATTGAGGGTCTATAGAAAGAAGCCTTTCAGAATAAATGTCAGGCATTCTTTTCAGATGAATAAGTCCCCACAGAGGTTCTCACTACTGGTCAGTTCATCCCCCAACTCAACTCATAGCTGCTCATTGATTCTGTTTGGGGCATTCTGGAATGAAGCTGGGGCTTCAGCATAGCAGGGGTGACATTGGAAACTCTTGGTCCAGTCCAGGGAAATTGATGCTTTCATTTTTTTCGCAAGCCAGAAGGATCTGACACTTCTTAGACTTCTCTCTTTCACTTTCAGAATCTTCATGCCCCTGAGCTCCAGTGAACAGGGGTCATGGAGGAGGAAGTAAGGCATACTGAAGTGGTTCTCCAAGGACAGTCCCTGGACCAGCAGCAGGAGCAGCCTCCGGAGCCTGTTAGAAATGCAAATTCTCCTACCCACATAGCAGACCTACTGAGTCAGAAATTCTGGGGCAGTGGCGGTGGGCGAGGGGTGTTGGGGGGCAGCCAGCAGTGTTTCAGTCAAACTTCCAGGTGATTCTGGGTCACTAGAGTTGAGAACCACTGATTAAGAACACAGACAAAACATGAACAGACTTTGCTCCAAAGGCCAGCTCTGCCACTAATTACTTGGCCAGGTCACTTTCACCTCTCTGAACCTCAGTTTCCTCACCTGTAAACTAAGAATGATAATCATGGCCAGGCGCCGTGACTCACACCTGTTATCCCAGCACTTTGGGAGGCTGAAGTGGGTGGATAACTTGAGGTCAGGCATTCAAGACCAGCCTGACCAACATAGTGAAATCCCGTCTCTACTAAAAATACCAAAAAAAAAAAAAAAAAAAAGCCAGGTATGGCGGTGCACGCCTGTAATCCCAGCTACTTGGGAGGCTGAGGTAGGAGAATCGCTTGAACCCGGGAGGTGGAGGTTGCAGTGAGCTGAAGATTGCACCGCTGCACTCCAGCCTGGGTGACAGAGCGAGACTCTGTCTCAGAAAACAAACAAACAAAAACAATAATCACGCCTATCACTAAAGTGTTGTTTTGTGGATTAAGGGAGTAAATGCAGGTAAAGTGTTTAGCACTGCTCTTTGCAGAGCCTGGATGAGGGTGAGGCCAGGGAGGCACATAGGGTCAAGCGAGTGCCCCCTTAAATTTTGCATCCGTGAATGGCTCCTTCACCTCACCCTAGTTCCAGCTTTGTTTCTTATATTCCAAAAGTGCTCAGCAAATGATTCCTACTATTTTATATTATTGAGGAATCTAAAGTTTTATTCATTTTAGGGGCCTTGGTCAAGCAGTGTTCTGGAGTCAAAGTCTTTAGACAGTTTGGTGTAGAGGAAAGAGCACTGGCTTTGGAGTCCACAGGCCAGGACCTGGACCCTAGGAAGGCTGGCCAAGGAGAGAGACACAGAACAGAGGCTCCCCACACACCCACGTGGCTCCCTAAGCAAGGCTCCTTTCACTGGGCAGGGCACTTTCTTCCCCTTATCTTCTTTCTGAGAGAAAACAGAGGCCACTCTCAAGTTTGAACTCTCTCTCATCTGTGATCCCTGTGTTTTCTCTAGTAGTAGATGTCCAAAAAGCATTTGACAATCCAACATCAATTTCTTTTTTTTCTTCTTCTTCTTCTTTTTGAGACAGTCGTGTTCTGTCGCCCAGGCTGGAGTGCAGTGGCGCGATCTTGGCTCACTGCAACCTCCGCCTCCCAGGTTCAAGGAATTCTTTTGCCTCAGCCTCCCGAGTACCTGGGATTACAGGCATGTGCCACCACACCTGGCTAATTTTTGTAATTTTAGTAGAGACAGGGTTTCACTATGTTGGCCAGACCACTCAAACTCCTGATTTCAGGTGATCCACCCGCTTCAGTCTCCCAAAGTGCTGGGATTACAGGCGTGAGCCACCGCGCCCAGCCTCCAACATCAATTTCTGATTAAAAGTCCCAGCAAATTAAGACTAGAGGGGGAAAAAGGCCGGGAGTGGTGTCTGACGCCTGTAATCCCAGCACTTTGGGAGGCTGAGGCGGGCAGATCACAAGGTCAGGAGCTCGAGAACAGCCTGGCCAATAAGGTGAAACCCATCTCTACTAAAAATACAAAAATTAGCTGGGCGTGGTGGCAGGTGCCTGTAGTCTCAGCTACTCAGGAGGCTGAGGCAGAAGACCTCAGCTAACCCGCAGCTAACATCATAGTTAATGCGAAAGACTGGAAGATCTCCCCCTTCTGCATTCGCTACTCTTCTATGTTGTATCAGAGGTTCTAGTTAATTCATTAAGGCAAGTAAAGGAAAAGGCATCCAGATCAGAAACTGCCTTTATTCACAGATGGCATAATTGTCAATGGGGAAAATCTGATGAAATCTACATTAAAGCTGCAGAACTAATAAGTGAGCTTAGCAAGGTTGCAGGATATCAAATCAACATAAAGAAATCAATTTTATTACTATACACAAGCAAAAAAAAATTGGTAATTGCAATTCAAAGACAATACCATTTACAGTAACACAAAAATATGAAATGCTTAGGCATAAGTCTGGCCAGAGCTGTGCAAGATTTATACTGAAAACTACAAAACATTGCTGAGAGAAGTTAAACAAGACCAAACTAAATGAGGAAATATCCCATTGCCTAATTCAAAGTCATGAAGATTTATACCTATGTTTTCTTCTCAAAGCTTTATAGTTTTAGCTCTTACATTTGGGTCTTTGGTTCATTTTGAGTTAATGTTTTTATATGGTGTAAGTCAGGGGTCCAACTTCATTCTTTTGCATATGGATATCCAGTTGCCCCAACACCATTTGTTGAAGATTCTGGTTTTTTTCCTCCATTGAATGATCTTGGCACCATTGCAGAAAATCAACTTATCATAAATGTGAGCTTGTATTTCTGGACTCTCAAATTCTGTGCTATTGATATAAGTCTGTCTTTACACCAGTACCACACAGTCTTGATTGCTGCAGATTTGTAGTAAATTTTGAAATTGTGAAGTGTGAGTCCTCCAACTTTGTTGTTTTTCAAGATTGTTTTGGCTATTCTAGGTCTGGACAACTGATTTTTTACAAAAATATCAATGCAATTTAGTAGAGAAAGCATAGTCTTTTCCACAAATATAGTTCTGGAACAAGTGGATATCCATATGCCCTTGATTTTTTACTCTCTTATATCTGTGACCACAGCTTTTGGCTCAACCCCTGTTTTCTGAAATGCTTCTCTTCTTCTGGAAGTTGGTTTCTTATTTCTTTTCAAAAACATAAATTAAATTAGGTTTATTGAATTTAAATATTCTTGGTCTGTGCTTTCTGTTTTTGAAGGCTGTGCCTTTTCTCTCCATTCATAGACTGTTTCCTGAAATCTGGGAGTGTGAGGAGCTTAAAGGGAAACCCTGACTGATGGGAGCTGGGAAGACATCATGTGAATTCTCTCCTGTGCCTTTTCCAGACAAATGGCCTTCCCTCCTGCTGGATGGCCCTGGGGAAGGGCCTGAGTAGCCACAGCCACAAAGATTCAGGCACCTGCAGGGCCTTCAAACACAGGCAAATGCATGGGGTAACTTCTCTCACTTGGTTTCCGAAGGAGAAAAGGTCTACCCAGCATCACCGTCCACTTCCACACCTCTCCATTAGCGTAACATGTATCTACCAGACATAAGTCAAGCACCTAGTGCATACAGAGATCCAGCTAACCTGTGTCACAGGCCTCAGGGGGCCTGGATTGGGCCATTGGAAGGGCAGGAGAGCTCTGTATACAGTGAGACACTTTTTTTTTTTCTTTGAGACACAGCCTTGCTCTGTTGCCAGGCTGGAGTGCAGTGGCGCGATCTCAGCTTACTGCAACCTCTGCCTCCTGGGTTCAAGCGATTCCCTTGCCTCGGCCTCCCGAGTAGCTGGGACTATAGGCATGCACCATCACACCAGGCTCATTTTTTGTATTTTAGTAGAGACAGGGTTTCACCATGTTGGCCAGGATGGTCTCGATCTCCTGACCTCGTGATCAGCCCGCCTCGGCCTCCCAAAGTGCTGGGATTACAAGCAGTGAGACCCTTTTATTATTCCTCCTACGTGTAGTACTGAGACCCCAACATTTTCTCTACCAAATTCCCTTCCCTGAATCATGATGAGTTTTGCAGTATCCAAAGCTATACAACTGAGCTTTTAAAAGACTATTTATTTGCTAGTAGTTGAGGGTTGGAGCTGTGGAGTCAGACTGCTGGGTATGTGGTCTTGGGCACAAAGCTTAACATAGTGGCTCTCAAAGTGTGGTCCCTGATCCGGCAGTATCAGCATCCAATTTTCAGGCCCCACACCAAACCTATTGAATCAGAATCACGGGGTGGGACTCAGCATTTCATATTTTAACCAGCCCTTCAGGTGATTCTGATGCACCTTGGCTGTTAAAGAGCTTACCTGTTATCCAGATTTCATATCCTGCTTCTGCCATTTGCTACCTGTTACTTAAGATCTCTGGGTTTCAGTTTCCTCATCTATAAAATGGGAATGATCATGGTACTAGCTTCCACAAGGCTCTTGTTCCAATTAATAGAATGAGCCATGTAAACTACTTAGGATGTACTTATTCATCATTAATTACATATAAATGTGTTTATGTGTGTGTGTGTGTGTGTGTGTGTGTGTGTGTGTGTGTATGTGAATTTCCCTTGCCTTAGGTGTTTACGAAGATTCATGGTCATGTGTAATAGTTGTATAACACGTCTTAAAATTTTACGAAGAAACTTGTATATGACGGCCCTAATCATTTTCATAACAAGCAAGGTAGGTGTTAGGTATTATTATCTTCATTGTACACATGGAAAACAGGGGCCCAGAGCATAACATTTTCTCAGGGTCACAGTGAGACAGTTATGAGTCTAGAATATAAACCACTTCTGCCTTGAACATTTGTGTCTATTCATTACATCATGAGTTCTCAGAGTGCAGGCCTGCAATCTTGGTTGACACAGATAAAATTGTTTTAATTTAGGTACCTGTATTTGTCCACTATGGGAAAAAAGATATGGTTAATGGCGATGCTGTTAGTTAAATATAAAGTTCTTGGCACAACCCAGCTTGGCATGTGACTTACCGCTGCTTCTTGCAATTCCTCATTCCAAACAGGGAGGCTGTTTGGTGCAACAGGCACTGGAATGGAAAAGGTCAACCCAGCTCCAACTTCTGACTCCAACATTTCTTATCTGAGTGTGTGACCTTGAACAAGGTACTTTGCCTCTTAGAACTTCCTTTTCTCCTTTTGTAAAATGGGGTACTATCCCTCCCCCACCCAGCTCCCAGAACAGCCCTGGGTCTCAAGTTGAATGATGTGGAAGATGTGGAAGCACTTTGCAAATCATAAAGTACATGTACAATGATGGGATTGGAAGGAAGAGTTTGCTGAAGATGAATTCTGCTGGCCTCTGCCAGCTCTAAACGGCTCTGTGGTCTGGCAAGGCCAAGGCAATGTGCAGCTGGTGGGAGGTCGGTGGGGACTGGTGGAAAGCTAGTCAAGATGTGTGGCCTGACCCTTGCTGGGGAGTGGCCTGCCAGGACAGGGGGATGTCAGAGACCCTTCCAGGGAACCCCCAGTCATATGCCATCAGCTCGGGACAAGCCACTGCTGCCCTGGAGGCCCTCTGGAGTCAGACCCAAGAAGTCCACGCAAAGTGAAACAAGTTCTCGTCCTGGCTACCAGTTCCCAAGATGACACTGGGCAGGACCCTCACTTCTCTAGGCCTTTGTTTTACAAAACAAAGTGGCATGTGCCATCTCTCAAGAGCAAAGAAAAACAAAACAAAACAAAACAAAATCAATAAAAAATTAAAAATGGCATATCCTCAACTATTCCACCAACCCTTTTATTATTCCTCCTAAGTGTAGTACTTAGATCTCAACATTTTCTCTACTAAATTATCTTCCCTGAATAATGATGAGTTTTGCTGTGTTCAAAGCTAAATAACTGAGCTTTCAGAGGACTATTTGCTAGTAGCTGGGGGTTGGAGCTGTGGAGTCAGGCTGCTGGGTGTGTGAACTCGGGCACAGTGCTTAACCCCTTTGGCACTTAGTGTCTCCATCTGCAAAATAGGACTCATAAACGTACCCATCTTACAGGATCGAAGATCAGTGAGATGGTGTGTGAAGGGCTTCACCTTGCTTCTAGCAGCTAAGTTCAGTGGGAAGCTATCACTGTCACCAGCAACACCAGGGTACAGAGGGACCAGCTGGAGCTGATTTCAGAGAAAAGTCAAGACACCGGATACTTTTACGAGCCCGTGAGCCCTCACACAGGGGCTATATACTGTTTCTTTTCAGCTTTTGAAAGAACCGGGAATAGTCTGAGCACCCCAAGTCCAGGGACCCCAGCCTGGGAACCTCTGGCCCAGAGAATCATAAAGTTGCTTCCATCTCTGACATTCAAGGTCTCAGAACATTTCAGCTGTGCTGAGGGTCAGCCAAGCCTCTTAAAAGAAACCCGCGTGGTCAGCAGCAGCTGGGCCTGCAGTGAAGCCAAGGTAGACCACAGGAGGAGCTGCCGCAGCCCAGAGCCCCGCCTCCCAGGGCCAGGGCCCCTGCAGAAGAGTCGCACATCAGAGGAAAGCTCACAGCCTCCTGTTCAGTGCATCCGGGAACTAAATCTCCACGCCCCCTCCCACCTCTCTGATCTGAAAAAGGCCAGGAGGGAAGGAAATGGTTATTTCAAAGGCTGGACGATCCCCCTTTGCAGACAGGGTCAGAGTCTGAGTCTTGAGCTCTCCAAGGAACTACTGAAAACCAGAACTTTGTCTGCTTCCTTTTCTTCATTTCTCCTTTCCTTTCTTTGCAGTCCTGTTCTAAATGTAGATCTGTAATCCCGGCTACTCGGGAGACTGAGATGGGTGGATTGCTTGAGGCCAGAAGTTCAAGGCCAGCCTGGGCACCATAGCAAGATCCTTGACTCTAAAAAAAATTAAAAATAAAATTATGCAGGCATGGTGGCATGCACCTATAGTCCCAGCTACTAGAGAGGCTGAGGCAGAAGGATTGCTTGAGCCCAGGAGTTTGAGGCTGCAGTGAGCTATGATCACACCCCTGCACTCCAGCCTGGGTGACAATCCAACGTGATCATCATATAAATGATGATAAATAAATACTTATTTATTGATAAAAATAAATAAGTAAGTAAATAAGATCTTGGAGGCCATGATTCAGGCTGTCAAGGAACAGAAACCTAACCATCAACGGGAGGGAAAAACCTCAGGATCTCGGTGTTGTAGGAGTGATCTCGGGGTAAACCACACACTAGTGGAGTCTCCTACAGAAAAAGCCGATATGATGGGAATGATGCAGAATCCCTCACCTCTGTGGATCCTTCGTGCCCATTCTCTGTCTGGCTCCTCACACCAAGCCCTAGAGACATCCAAGGCAGAGCTTCCTATTCCCATTACACAGAGGAAGAAACTGAAAGCCAGGAAGAAGATGATAATATGAAAAACCATAGCTAACTTTCATTGAGCACTCACTAATTTGCCAGGTAAGGCACTAAGAACTTTGCATGCATTATCTCATTTAATCCACACAAGTGCCCTAATGAGGTAGGCATTATTGCTCTTCCCATTTTACAGATAAGGAAATTAAGGCAGATCTGCCAGATGTCCAAGCCCACACTCATAATCACTGGCTACACCTGCCCCTGCCCAAGAACCACACGGTGAGACAGTGGAAGGCTCAGGAGCCAAGCCCGGGTCTTCTAACTCCAGGTTGAGTGCTCTTTCCCTGCTGCCGTTCTGCTTCCTTGTGGTGAGTGGAAGGACGGCTATTCTAATAATCAGATCTATATAAAAAAGGAACAGGTTGTGTGGGAGGGATTGAGAACCCCATCACTGAGAGGCATCCTAGCCAAAGCGAGATGATCGCTTGGTGGAGTGCTATGGAGGTAATGGGGGTGGGGCTTAAGGCTCCTTCCAGACATGGGGAGGCAATGAAATCCATTATAGTTGCCAAGAAAACCTCCAGAAAGATGTCTAGGTCCCATCTTTTCTTTCTTCTCTCATGTCATTCATTCCTTCTCTTAATCAACAACTCATTGAGAGCCCACACTGTGCCAGATCCCATGCTATGTAACAAAGGACCAGACAGACATGGGCCCTACCATCCAGAACATATGCTTCAGTGACCTTTATCCCCAGCGAGCCTAAATAGGACTCCTCTGCCAACCAAGATATCCCATCTCTAGACCATGGCTCCTTCTGTTGACTTTCCACCAACTCCTCCTTGATGCTGAAACCAAAGCGGTGCAAATACCACCTTGGAACTCTTAACACGCTGTTGCTGGGAATGTGAATTAGCACAGCCACTATGGCAAACAAAATGGAGGTTTCTCAGAAAATTATAAATAGAACTACCCCCTGACCCAGCAATCCCACTACTGGGTATTTATCCAAAAGAAAGGAATTCAAGTGTACCAAAGGGACACCTGCACTCCCATGTTTCTTGCAGCACTATTCACAATAGCTAAGATATGAAATTAACCTAAGTGTCCATCAATAGGTGGATGAATAAAGAAAATGTGGTATGGATACACAATAAAATACTCTTCAGCCATACAAATGAATGAGATGTCATTCGCAGCAACAGGGATGGAACTGGAGGTCATTATGTTAAGTGAAAATGCCAGGCACAGAAAGACAGATACCGCGTGTTCTCACTCATACGTGGGAGCTAAAAACTTGATCTCATGGGCATAGAGAATAGAATAATTGATACCAGAGACTGGGAAGGGTGGGTAGGTGGGTGGGAGGAGGATAATGAAGAGAAGGTGATTAATGCGTACAAACATACAGTTAGATAGAAAAAATAAGTTCTAATGTTTGATAGCAGACTAGGATGACTATACTTAACAACAAACAATATTTTGTATCTTTCAAAGTAACTAAAAGAGAGGACTTGAAATGATACCAACACATAGAAATAAATGATAAATACTCAAGGTGACGGATACCTCAAATACCCTTACTTGACCATTACACATTCCATGCATAAAACACTTACATGTGCCTTATAAATGTGTTTAACATTACATATCAATAAAAGAAATAAAAATTCATCATAGTTTTAAAATTATAATTAGACTGACGGTTTAAAGAAAAACAAATTTGGAAGATTAAAATGGATTCAATGAACCTGGCCTAACATAATTAGCACAGTTGATCTTTTGTATGTGTATATGGAGTCCTTATTAAAACATTGACATATTCTACAAAGAATAACAAAAATAAAAGGTGATTTCAAGACTTTTGGGGAAAAAAATGCCACTTAGTCTAAGACGCCTTCTCTGGTATTCCTAGCAGAAGTGCTTCTCCTTCTGCCTGGCTCCGTGACCCCTGCAGGTGCCTTCCCTATCTCACAGGCAGTTGGGTTGATCTGCACTGTATTTCACGTAGACGTTGGGTGCAGGGGATGTTCTGCAGGACCACAAGCTCACGGACTGCAGGGACTGTGTCCAATTCTGGTATCCAAATGCCAGGCATCCCAGCACAGATAAGATGCTCATTCATTCATTCATTCATTCAACAAATATGTATTGAGCAGTTGTGAAGTGTCGGGCCCTGTTCGGCCACTGGGTTTCCAATAGCACACAAGGCAGGCAAAAAGCCTGCCCTGGTTTATATTCCAGTGGGAACTACTAGATGAACAAGCCAATGACTAAATGAATATGCATTGAATCCTGAAAACCCTTTTTGAGACCCTACACTTAGAAAAAGGTGCATTTTTGGACTGTTTGCATATCCACCGGTCAAATGTTTATCTACACTAAGTGAGCTCTTGAAGGAAGCCTACCTTCCTCTGTGGCATGAGTGTTTAAAAATTGCCGGAAAGGGATCGTGTCAGAATTAGTCTTCCCTGCTTTGGGAATCCTGAGCTATTGAGATGTTAGCCAAAGGCTTGAATAAAATAAAATAAACTAAGCTTTAGAGTCAGAGAAATAATTCAATTTCAGGAAACACCAGGCCCAGGGACAGTAATAACAAAAATAATCACAGCAAACATTTACACAGCACATACTATGTGCCAGACCCAGGAGAATCTCTGGGTTCCCAACAGACGACAAGGCTATGTCAGAAGGAAGGAGAGGCCATGAGGGGGTTGACCCTGACTAGCGCCATCCCCTGGGATCGGGCCGTTGTTCACTAGGGCTCTAACTGTCCCATGATCCACAGCAAGCTTTGAGGCCCAGTGCATTTGAATTTCCCAGGAATTCAATGGCAGAAAAGACAAAATGTCCCAAGCAAAAGGACATTTACCTCCCTAAAACAGAAAAACTGTGCTCAGGGAAGGAAATTCCTTGGAATAATGGAAGCATCTTTACTCCCTGAAAAGAAGGTTGGAATGCACATTTATTGAGCTTTTACGATATGCCAGGCACTGTGCTTGGATTTGGTTTACACTGTCATTTACTCACTGCTGGGTACTATTTTAATGTGGAGCTATAGCCAGGGATGAAATAGACACTGTCAGTCCCCAGCGCTGACATGCAGTCAGGATGTATCTCTCCTCCTCCCTCCCCTTCTTCTCCTCTTCCTTCGCTTCCTCCTCTCCCTCTCCCTCCTCTACCTTCTTCTCCTCTTCCTCTTCCTGATGTATTCCCCACTTCTCTCATCAACATGTACATGTATTCATGCCATAAACACCCACAGAGCATCCACTACATGCCAGGCACTGTGCCTGACATTGAGGGTGAGGAAGGGAGCAAGATAAACACCAAGGGGCCCATGGTTCATCAGCCCAGGTGCCCAGGCTGGAAACATGAACACCACCTGCAACTTCAGACTTCCTCAGCCCCTTCATGGTTGTTCAACGAGTCCTGCAATTAGACCCTTTCCCTCCATCTCCACTGCCAAAGCCTTAGCCCAGATCTTCACCCTCCCTCACTATGGTCACCATCCAGCTCCCTCAGCCTCCCTCTGGTGTTGCCTTCTCCAGCTCTTTCTCTGCAATGCAGCCAGAGGGACTTCTGTAGAACACATCTAGATCTGTTTGCTCCCTTACTCAGAGCCTTACGTGGCTACCCTCAGGAGAAAGTCCAAGCTCCCTGACCAGGTATTCAAGGCCCATCCTGACCCCTCTTTTTTTTTTCTGTCTCTCTTTTGGGGACTGAATTTTGCTCTTGTTACCCAGGATGGAGAGCAATGGCGCAATCTCAGCTCACTGCAACCTCTGCCTCCTGGGTTCAGGCGATTCTTCTGCCTCAGCCTCCTGAGTAGCTAGGATTATAGGTGCCTGCCACCACACCCAGCTAATTTTTGTATTATTAGTAGAAACGGGGTTTCACCATGTTGGCCAGGCTGGTCTCAAACTCCCGATCTCAGGTGATCCACCCACCTCGGCCTCCCAAAGTGCTGGGATTACAGGCTTTAGTCACCATGCCTGGCCCATCCTGACCCCTCTTGCTCCAGTAGGGTTGGACTGGCAGGAGATGAGCTATGGATGGTGAAGCAGTTGGTTCCCAACCAGCCACTGACTCCTTATCAGCGAGGTACACATGCACACAGACCCCCGTACCCACCCAGAGACACACGGGCACAAACACACACACTCAGGTGCACCCTGGGGTATAAACAAGCAAGTCCATTTATGCTGACACACATGCATGTAGACATAGCAGCCAGATTACCAAACCGAAACACAAGATGACCAGTTACATTTGAATTTCAGATGAATAACATGTTTTTAGTATAATTATGTTCCAAATGCTGCATGGATAAATTTATACTAAAAAATAATTTGATGCTCATCTGAAGTTCAGATTAAATTGAGCATCCTGTATTTTATCTAGTGACTCTACAAACAGAGAACAGCTAACACAAGCACCAACCCTACACATACATATTACACAGCTTACACACTTATACATGTTACATACTTATACTACTTACACGGGCAATTCACGTGTGAACGTGCGCCTCACACTGTCGTGTATTCTAGACTAATGGGCATCTCACTGCCCACGACCAAACCGGAACATTGGCCAGCTGCAGAAAGCTCTTCAGGGAAACATTTATTCCGTGAATAAATGCCTAATTAACAGGAATTCCTGGACATCCAGCTCCTAGAATGTTGTGTGCCCAAAGTAATCCCTGCGGAAACTGGGCTTTCACTAAGCACAATGCCCTGAGTGGATGGCAGCAGGGAGAAGGGTCTATGGGGCTGAGCCTCTCATTCCCTCCTGTTCTTTTCACAGATTTCCAGAGCAGAGTTCAGGGCCTATAAACTCCCTTTCCAAATAAGACCTCCTTGTCCCAGCTGGAAGCCTGCCTAGGATCATGAGAAAGTCACAGAATTTAAAGCCAGACAGAAATATGTTCACAAATTCGACTTCCACATATCTGCGCTGTGTCCTTGAGCAAGTCACTTGCCCTCTCTGTAGAATGGAAATGTTCCACTAATAAACCAACTCCTTTGGGTTACAAGTGTTACTAAATAAGATAATGTATGTGGACGACGTTTTTCAGAGTTTTGGATAAAAACTAGCTCCTAGGGTTGTAAGTGACGCACAGAAGAGGAGAATGTGATAAAACTTTGGGACAACTAAAATCAGGCATTAGTGTCAATTAAGTACTGCAAAGTCACATCCTAAGTAAATTAGGTTCTAAACTCAGCACATACAGGGAAAATGCTTATGTCCAAAACACTCTGAAAGCCTTTTAGGATTGTGTACACAGCGTTGTACAATGGCAAACAAGAATACTTACGCACACTGGAAATTCAGGACCTCTGACATAGACCGAAGGGAGAAACAAAAGGAACTTCTTCTATGCAAATGTCTGGGCATATTCTGATTTTAAAATGGCCAGCAAATCCCTAGTGATTAATGGCAAGAGTGGAGAATACTGAAACTTCTTCTTGCCTGCAGGGTTTCCTCTATTATTTTAAAACACTGAGCCTCTATGTAGTCAACATTAATGCTTGTTCCTCAGTTTTTCTGGTTATTTTCCACCTGAGCACACAATAGGATTGTATGTCCCTTCCTTTGGCCTGTGAAATGGGAAGTGGTGTGTTACCACCAGGCAGAAGCATTCTAGTGCTGCTAAGAGATTCTTCATCTTCTCCTCCCCCTGCTGCAGTGACCCACAGCATTCCAGGTGGTGAACCTTGAGTATCTAAGACAGGTCAGTGTGAACGATGACCCCACAAACCTACAATGAATGTGGAGCATGAGTGAGAAGTGAGCCTTTGCTATTTTAAGCCATGCATATTTAAGAGTTGTTTATTACTGAAGCAAAATCCAGCCTATCCTGACTAATACACTTTAACATTTTAGTACATATTAATAGATTTGTTTGTTGTTGTGAAGCTTTTTTTTTTTTTTTTAAAGACAGAGTCTAGCTCTGTCACCCAGGCTGGAGGGCAGTGGCACAATCACAGCTCACTATAGCCTTGACCTCCTAGGCCCAAGTGATCCTCCCACCTCAGCCTCCTGAGTAGCTGGGACCACAGGCATGTGCCACCATGCTCAGCTAATTTTGTTTGTTTGTTTGTTTGTTTGTAGAGAAGGAGGTCTCACTATGTTGCCTAGGTTGGCCTCAAACTCCTGAGCTCAACGGACCCTCCTGCCTCAGCTTCCCAAAGAGCTGGGAGTGAGCCATATCGCCCATCCAGAGGGGAGGAAATCCTAAAATTACCTTGTGATAAATGCTTGAGGTGTTGGATACGCCATTTACCCTGATGTGATTATTAGGCATTGCATGCCTATATCAAAGTTTCTCATTGAACCCATAAATATATATATATACCTGATATACCCATAAAAATTAAAAATTAAAAAATAAAATAACTTGTAAGTTAGATGAGCCTGATGCAACATCACTGTAATTGCATACCCTGCCTAGCCTACTTCCAAACAGAATCTGTGGTAGCTTAGTAAATCAAAATACATACTGGCAAACAGAGTCACTAAAATAACAATAGAGGAGAGAGAGGAATCCATTCAGGGAAGATGGGAGAGGATTGTACTTGGAAGTTTTGCCAAAAGCCAAGAATGACAGGTTGAACCACGGATCAGTGAAAGCATTTAGGAGTAGGCATTAGAAGAAATTCTTGGTACCAAGAGGCTCTGGGCCAGAAGGCTGGGAGGGAGGAAACCAATGTTTATTTTGTGCCTGCTATGTGCCAGATACTGTGCTATATGCATTGAAAATGTAATTTCTTTATTATTCTCATTAAAACTCAGGGAAGTAAAAACAGGCTCAGAGAAGTCAAATAAGTTGTCTGAGGTCACACAGTAGAAGACTAAGGATTCGAATCCACATTGGTCTCAGTCTTACATCAGTGCTCTTATTGGAGCCATCGGGGGCTGAGTCTGGGAGGTTGCACTCCCTACCACTTGTTCCAGACATGGTTGCAATGTAATGTGGCAGCAAGCTAGCATTCTCTTCCCAATAGCTCGGACGTGAAGCCCTGTTGGAGGGGACCATGGTGTCCAGGTCTGCCCCACACAGGGTGGCCCTGCTTACGACTTCCTGTCCTGTACCCACAAGGGTCCCAGTCTCCTTGGGAGTGTCCTGTGAAGAGGAAACCACATTCCAGGCCCAGATGCAGACAGCTGTGTGCTTCCTCCAGCCTGTGGTGACTCATACTGGGACAAGAAAGCCGCTTCTTTGCCTGGATTCCCTGTCCCAAAACCCTAATCTGGGGAAAGCTGCCTTAAGCTCCCTAAACACAAGGCCCTGTCCGGGCGGCTGGCGCTCTCGAGGGTGGGGTGCACCGATGCTGTCCACCGAGAGCAGGGTCCAGAACAAAGAGGAAATTCAGGGCAGGAGATCATTTTTTTCTCCCTGGCGAGGCTCCTGCGGCCATCTGGCTGAGAGGGCTGTTATTCAAACCTCTGGATCGAAGTCTGTTTGTTTTTTAAGAGTTTGCAGCTGATTATTTTCATCAAATTCCCTGCAGCCAACTGCGCTGGCTCCTTTAGCAGGCAAACCTGTGCAGCCAACATGTCCTCTCGGCTGGGTTCACCGCTCCCCTAGCAGGGAACCAGCAGCATCACTCTCTTCTTATCAATAAGGGCCCCTAGGCCAGGGCAGGGCCTTCAGATCTGGATAACTGGGCCAGCCAACCAGTGGTCTAGCTGACATCAGAGACTGGCATAAAGGAGGGACACTTGGGAAATCAGAAAGCTCCTGGTGGCCAGACCAGCTCCAGTGGCCTTTGGTATAATCATTCCAGCTCTGAAAAGGTAGCACCAGTCCTTCCGGGGTATCTTCACTGTGCAGAAAAGCGGTGAAGAAGCCGGGCATGGTGATTCACGCCTGTAATCCCAGCACTTTGGGAGGCTGAGGCGGGCAGATCACGAGGTCAGGAGATCGAGACCATCCTGGCTAACACGATGAAACCCCACCTCTACTAAAAATACAACAAATTAGCCAGACGTGGTGGTGGACACCCGTAGTCCCAGCTACTCTGGAGGCTGAGGTAGGAGAATCACTTGAACCCGGGAGGTGGAGGTTTCGGTGAGCTGAGACAGCACCACTGCGCTCCAGCCTGGGCAACAGAGCGAGACTCCGTCTCAAAAAAAAAAAAGAAAAAAGAAAAAAGAAAAAAAAAAAGAAAAAAAAAGAAAAGCAGTGAAGATCTCAGAGATCTGTAGAGAGGATTGAGCTGGAGTTCAAATCCAAACTCCAACACTTTTGTTAAATGGCAACTGAGTCTTCATTTATTCCTTTGGAGATTGGGAATAGTAACACCTTATCTCCCCGCACTGCCGTGTGTATGTATGTAAATATATACACATAGAATAATACATATGAAAGGCCTAAGACCATGCCTCCACGTAGCACGTTCTCAATAAATATTATTAGTTTCCCCTTTTCATTTCTTCAAGCATATGACAACTTGGTCTTTCACTCCCCTGGTGTGGAGGACAGGTGAGCAGCTGGTGCTCCTTGCCATAGCAAAAAAAGTGTGCAGAGACTGGGAACTTTCCTTCAAGAGGCAATGAGAATGAGCCATCTTCAAAGTAATTGCACAGACCATGAACCGATAACTTTTTTACCCAGAAAGTAAAATCCAACTTGTTTGGTAAGATATGAGCTGAGTTACTCAATATGATTTCTGGACATCGGCCTGTCTTTGGGGTCAGAGTGATGGACTAGGGCTATTCGGAGGGAACGGAAATGATGGTTGTTCTGCACAAAGCAAGAGAGGTCCCCTGTACCATAGCAATCACAAAAAGCTCTATATGAAAGGCTCCCTCCTTTATCTGAGAATCTAGGTTAGGGCAATTTCTAAACCAAACTTTTTTTTTTTCTTTGTACTTTAACTACTCAGCTCTTCTGCCTTTTGGAAATGAGAAAAATGCGGCTTCTTAAAATATCTTGCCTGCCTCCCCACTCCCAGCCTCCTGCCCCGACAGCTGAGACGGCCCCAGATCCTTGGCCCTTTGCCAGGGTGTTCAGAGGGCTCAGCCCCCATGGGCCCGGCAGCTGGGCCTCCAAGGGGAAGGACTTTTGACTCATTCCTGATACCAATCCTGGCCTTGCAGCCTGTTTCTTCCAAGATCATTGTAAGTTCCTGAACCCTAACTCCAAAGACTTGAGTCCTGATCCCAAACCTCAGGCCAGTGGCTATAGCCTGGGCTCCCAGACTTCCCCAAAATCTGTCTGCTGGTCAAGACCCTCCCACAATGCCCATTCCCCAGCTCCTGGCCACCACCCTACTTGCTGCAAGCCCCTCTCTGAGTCAGCAAATGCCACTGCTCCAAGCCCAGCACCAGACTTGGTACACATTGTTGTGTCCTTGAATTAGACCAGGCCAGGCCAGTTCACTTGCAGAATCGTTTCACTGCCTAAGGATACTGTGCCACAGGGAAGGTCACTACCCTGAGGAACTCATCGCACATGGGACAAGAGAGTTCTGTGAATGAACAAATGAATGAATGAATGAATGAATGAATGAATGACAATATAATGCAAATTGTAGTTGAGACTCACAGAACGTGAAAAGGTTGGCCCAGAGGAAAAATAATCCACTCCACCCCAGCGGGTGAGTAGGGAGCCAGGGAAGGCTTTGAGGATAAAAGTCTAACTTGGAGTTCAAAGGTGGAACAGGGAGACCAGAGGGGACAGTCTAGTTGTCGTTGATTCAATGGTCACTTTTATCTTTACTATAATTTATCCCTTTTGTGGATAATGTGCACTTCAGATTCACTTAATTCTAGCTCTTAACTAAAAATTCTGGGTAGGATCTTGTCCTAAGTTTAAAAGTCTGGATTTCTCTCAAGTAGAATTGTTAGTAAAAGGAGCCCTAGATGTGGAGTCAGAAACACTTGGTCGAAGCCTTGGGTCTGTCAGATCTTTAGGAGAAACTCCTTGATCTCTCTGAGCTTCGGTTTCCTCATCAGAAAAGTGGAGGAAACAATTCTGTCCAGCTCACCTCAGAGGGCAGTTGTATGTTTCAGATGAAATAACATACGTGAACCTGCTTCATGGATACGAGACTCCTCTGGCCCCACGAGAGTTTATTAAAGCAGCAAGACCCGCCATGGGCTGCTCTAACAGCTTATCAAAAAATCACGGTAGCTACAAGAAAAAATCTAAAGCTTCATTTTCCCCCATTTTGCATGCCTATAATTCCTGGGCTTGTTGGTCAATATATGCCTTACAAATGAGCTCTTACCAGGCCTGGCATTTTGTATCTATTTTCTCCTGAAACTATTTTTCAGTAGAGAAATTCTACCTGTGCAACAAAGATGCAGGCTCAAGGTCACTCAGAATGAACTTCTGTGTGTACCAGATGGGTGGTTTTGACACAGCAAGGTGTGTGAGGAAGAAAAGAAGAAAAGAAGGAAGGGAAGAAGGGAGGGAGGGTGCAGCGAAGGAGGGAGGGAGGGCACTCCATTTGAGGAAAAGGAGACCACCTGCCCCTGAAAACCTTCGTGAAGGGTGCAGATAGGTACACACTGCTAATCTGCTCCTGACCTCTCCAGGAGAGGCCGAGGGAGGGAGAGTTCTGGAGAGGTCACCAGAGGTGGAAGTGGCTTTCAATTGCTTTTCAACTGGCTTCTACGGGAAAACAGGAAGAAAGGAATCAAATCAGGGAGCTCTCAAAGGTTGAGGTTCTCAGAGCTGGTGAGAGCCCGTTGATTTCTGAGGCAGAGGACAACTGTGGGAAGAAATGCCAAACACTGAGACCTCGGCTGATGCAACAGAAGAAGGAACCTTAGGTCTGAGTCCAGAAGTGGGGCTCAGATGTGCCTTGCACATGGCCCAGGACAAGTCACTTCTACCCTCTGGGTCTCGGTTTCCCCTTGTATGCAGCTGGAGAGCTGGATTGTGTGAGCTGTAAGCATCTTTCCAGAGGTGACCTGTGTCATCCATGATGAAGCTGTCAGGTGCAGAAACTCAAGTAATGGAGGAGGCTGGTTCCCTGGAGGCCACGCCCCTCCTCTCTGCCTCTCTGTAGATGAGGATTTCCCATCCTCATCTACACTCACTGGTTGAGTTCCTAACAGAAGAAGCCTGCTCGTAGTCATTGACCCAGCCTTACAGGGTCTGTCCACCAGGCTGTCCTGTTTACTCCTCCCAACAACCCTGTGGGCAAATAATAATAACTATGGGCAGCTGAGTGATGTTCTGTGCCAAGCACTCTTCTGAGCCCTTTCCATTTTTACAATAATTTTACTTAATTCTCACCATAATCACATGACATATAGGTATTGTTGTCCCCATTTTACTGATGTCCCCTTGCCCTGCCACACATGAGCAGATGCACAGAAGGGCTCCTCTACATGCCAGTGACCCCAAGCCTCTGAGCCTGACCTCTACCCTCTATAGCCCCTTTGGCTGGAGGAGCTGAACTTCAGTCCCCGGGCCAGCACCTGCCTGCTTGCATTAGGCCTTTAATTCTTCCTTTAATTCTTCCTGGCTGTCCTTGGCTCTGGTGTCCCTCCTGCCAAAGGGGGATCTTGAGAAATCATTCTCCTGATGCCACTCAGGTGGGCTGGGTCTTCAGGGAGAGGATGCATTTCTTCTTACAAGTCTGCTCCTCCCAGGAGAAGAGGCGGCCCACCCAAGTCTCCCCAGGCAGCCTGGACAAGTGTCTGTTCTAGGAAACTGGCCCAATGTTTCTTCCTTCCTCGCCTCCCAGAGGACCCAGGATTATGTCTGCAGAGCCAAGCCGTCCACCTGCATCCCAGATCCCAAGGCCTCCCTCCCGGCACTTCCTGCCCTCCCTGGCAGCCCCATCTCTCTCCTGCTATACTGATTCCTTCCCATTGTCCACAGCTAAAATGCGGCAGAGAGCGCCCCAACCTCAAGTCAGGAGACTGCAGATAAAATCCGGCTCTGACACTGACTGAATATGTGACTCTAGACAAGGTCAGTCATCTTGCCGAGTCTGTTTCCTTACCTGGGGATTGGAGTTCTGAGGTTATGGTTCAGCACTTTCTCTCCAGTCTGATTTCCTGCTGCTTCTCCTCTTGCCACTTCTGTTCCATCCAGACCCGTCTCCTGTCCGCAGATTATGTAAGAAATTTATTCAATAAATAGGCTGAGCACACAAGCCCTGATATGAAGAAGTCTACAGAACAGTGGGACAGGGAGATGATAAACAGGCAATCACAAGTCAGTGTCCCGAGAACTGTGAGGCCCAAAGTGGAGGGTGCTGGCTGGGAAACTGAGGAAAGGCATCACGCGCAGGCTCAGAATGCCCGTGAAGGCTTCCCAGGGAGGAGGCAGCAAGCCAAGAGCTGAGGGCTGGTAGGAATCAGCCTCTGGGCCAGGTGGCTCACGCCTGTAATCCCAACACTTTGGGAGGCCAAGGCAGGCACATCACTTGAGGCCAGGAGTTCGAGACCAGCCTGGCCAACATGGTGGAACCCCGTCTCTACTAAAAATACAAAAAAATTAGCCAGGCGTGGTGGCATGCACCTATAATCCCAGCTACTCTGGAGGCTGAGGCACGAGAATCTTTTGAACCCGGGAGGCGAAGGTTGCAGTAAGCCAAGATGGCACCCCAGCCTGGGCGATAGAGTGAGACAGTCTCCAAAAAAAAGATTCAGCCTCTAAAGAGTGGGGAAGGGGAAGAAGGGGAAGAATAAGAATATTTCAGGCAGAGAGAGCAGCGTATCCCAAGACCCTCAAACAAGAAAAGGTCAGTAGATTAGGGGAAATGTATATGGTTTAGTTTGATTGGACAATATCATGCCCATAGGTATGCATACCCGCATGTGTGCATGTGTGTGTCTGTATGCTCAGCCATGTTGGGGCAGGGGAGGAGAGAGAGGTGAGCCTGGAGAGGTGAGCAGGCACCGACTCCTCACACAGAGCCTGTGGGTCACTCGAGCGTGGGTGTTTTACAGGGAGCAGTGAGGGCCCACTGGAGGGGTTTTAAGCAGGGAAGGGGCATGATCAGGTTTGCATTTTAGAAAGATTCCTCTATCTGCCATAGAAGATAGAAGAAAGAAGGAGAAATTTGATTTTTTTTAAAGAAAAATATTGACAACACCAAGTGACTGTGAAGATGTGAAGCCACTGGAATTCTTATTTCACAGACACTGGAGGAGTGCACATATAATGTGGCACTGCCATTTTAAAGAATCTTTAGCAACACCAGTAGAGTTGAAGATCTGTGTATTTTTGGCCCAGTGTCTTAGTCCATCCAGGCTGCTATCACAGAGTGCCATAAACTGGAGGCTGAAAAGTCCAAAGTCAGGTTGCCAGCAGATTCAGTGTCTAGTGAGGGAATCACCACCTGGTTCATAGATGTTGCCTTCTTGCTATGTCCTCACATGGTGAAAGGAGCGAAGGAGCTTTCTCTGGCCTATTTTATAAGGACACTAATCCCATTCACAAGGGCAGAGCTCTCATCACCTAATCACCTTTCAAAGTCCCCACCTTCTAATACCATTACCTTGGGGATTAGGTTTCAACATATGAATTTTGGAGGGACACAAACATTCAGACCATAGCACCCAGCAATTCCGTTTCTTGGTTTCTACCCTAGGAGAAAACCACATACACATGTGCCCAAAGAGGTATATGGAAGGATATTCACTGCAGTGCCATTTTTAATAGTGAAAAAGTAGAAACAAGCTAACCAGGCATCTATAGGGAAACAGGTAAACTGTGATTCATTCACACAATGGGATGCTATACAGCAGTTAAATGAATTAACTAGATCTCCCCTGATATAGTTTGGAAGTTTGTCTCCAAATCTCATGTTGAAATGTGATTCCCAATGTTGGAGGTGGGGCCTGGTGGGAGGTGATTGGATCATGGGGGCAGATCCCTCATGAATGGTTTAGCACCATCTCCCCTTGGTGATGAGTGAGTTCTCACTCAGTTCACGTGACATCTGGTTGTTTAAACGTATGTGGCACTTCCTCCCTCGCTCTCTTGCTCCCACTCTGGCCATGTGACATGCTGGCTCCCTGTTACCTTCCACCATGATTGTAAGTTTTCTGAGGCCTCACCAGAAGCAGGTGCCAGCACCATGATTTCTGTACAGCCTGCAGAACCATGAGCCAATTAAACTTCTTCTCTTTTTAAATCACCCACCCTCAGGTTTCCTTTGCAGCAATGCAAGAATGGCCTAACGCATCCTTGTATCAAGAATAAATCTGAAAAACAATGAGCAGTGGAGAAAGAAAGACAAGTTGCAAAATGATATGAACCTTATGTATGTGAGCATTACCAATGAAAATACACAAAATGCCACATATGCTTTGTGAATACAGCATCAGTAGAAAAAGTAGAAAACCGCGTAGGAATGATGGTCAATCTAACAGAACATTAGAAAGGGGAGGGAGGGTTAAGGGGTAGAGCAGGAATTCAGCTGAAATTGTTATATTTCTATAAAAGACAGAACTGAAATGAATATGCAGAAATGTTTATATCTATTGAATCTAAATGATGGTATCTTGGTGACCCTTGCATTGTTTACTATACTTTTTGATATGATTGAAGTATTTTATCAATTAAAAAAAAAGATCGACAATACCAATCCATTGGTGGGGAACAAGACAAGAAGGAGGCAGATATGTTGAAGGCTTAGGCTGTGTCCAGGCAAGGGATGCTAGTGACTGGGACCAGGATGGGGCCCAGGGGGATGTAGAGAAACGGATGTAAATGAATGATGTTCAGGAGGTAGAATGCACACAGCTCTGCTTGTGTGAAGTCCTTCCTTCCTTCTCCCCTCTAATCTGGGGCACCTAAATGGAGTTCTGCCTTCTCCAGGAGACTTCCCCAGCTATGCCAGTCCACGGAGTTCTCTCTACTCTTCCATCCCATAGCCTTTGCAGTATTGCTCACTCCTGGGGGCACTTTATGCAACAATGCCTGAACTTGTGGTGTTTGTATGTCTCCTCTCCCTAGAAAATCTATAATATTTTGCAGGGCAAGAACCCTCCCTTATGCTCTTGATCGGTTTCCAGACATGTCTGTGTGACCAGGGCTTTACATCATGCCAGGCCCATGGCCAGTGCTGGATAATTTCTAGTTGAATGGATGAATAAGCGGATATAAAAATGAGTTCCAGAAAGACTTAAGGAATGCCAAGAAGCAATGTGGCAGCCCTGAATTGAAACCATGGCTTTGCCATTAAAAGGAGCAACCTTGGAAAAGTCACTTTCACTCTCTGAATCTGTTTCCCCAGCTATAAAATGGGGATAACTCCCATCGTTCAGGATTCATGCTTACAGATATTACACATTGCTTATGTTTGCCTACATATATTATATATTATGGATCTGCTATCCATAATACTACCCATAATATATCTAAGAAGTCGATTACTTCCTCCCCAATCACACTCATATTTTATAGAACTCTCCTTCTTCTTAGCCCAGAAGCTGTGGTCTTTTGTATCAGGTGACCCTGCTCCTTCTGCTGACAGCTGATTGAACAAGGGGTGGATCTCTGGCACAGGATGGGCCAATCAGATTCTGTCTTCCAAAAATTTGGAATTGAAACACAGAGACCTAGTCAGTTGACATGCATTCATCAAATTTTTAGGCCAGGCACGGTGACTCATGCCTGTAATCCCAGCACCTTGGGAGGCCAAGGCGGAGGGACCACTTGAGGCCAGGAGTTCAAGACCAGCCTGTCAATATGGCGAAACCCTGTCTCTACTAAAAATACAAAAATTAGCCAGACATGGTGGCGCATGCCTGTAATCACAGCTACTCGGGAGGCTGAGGCATGAGAATCACTTGAACCCGGGATGCGGAGGTTGTAGTAAGCCTAGATCGTGTCACTACTCACCAGCCTGAGCAACAGAGCAAGACTCTGTCTCAAAAAAAAAATAAGAAAATTGATGGGAAGCCCCCTCTAACCAAGCCCTGAAATTGCATAGCTGTATACTTTAGCTGATGTGCTGCAATGCAAGACTCAAGCCTGGGAATTGAGGTGGAAAGAGAACACTGTCTCTCTCTCTCCTGCCACATATAACAGCCTGCCTGGTACTGGGGGCCTTTGTGGACAAGTCTTCCCTCTCCTACAAGGCCAAGCCTGATTTGTCCCTGTCTTCTCCACAGCACTTAGCCTAGTGCCTGACCCTGAGAAGGTGCTCAGATAATAGGGGTTCAGATGAATCGTGTTAGATTTGCATGGAAATGAACTAAGACTCATGTGGGAGAGAGAAAGCAAGCTGATGGGTGCAAAAAAAATCCAAATCACAGGAGGCAAGCTTTAAGCAATTAGAGATGTTTAACTTATTGCAGAGAAAGCTTGTGGACAGCAAACAGGAAAAGGGATTTTACATTCTCTGTGTGTTACAGAAATGTGGGTTGTGGCTCCATGCCAGGAAAAGCTTTCAGTCAGAACTGCTCAGAGACACATTGGGCTGTCTTACGAGCTTCTCTGTTCTCAGAGGTGTGCGAGAAACTGAGTACCACTCAGCAGCTACACAGATACCTACGGAGTTGGATGTTCTGCAAAATTCCTTTCAATTGGGAGGGTCTCAGTTTATACATTTATTTATTAGTGCACCCTCAATGAAATTGTTTTAGTTATCATTAGTCAAAGTTTTAGTTTTTAATGAGACCTCTCTGGAACCTTGGCCATGTGTTCTGAAAATCAGACACAGAGTATCCATGGAATAACTGTTATGATTTATTATTTCAGTTTTTATTATGCAGCTTATTAATGTTGGATAAAGTTTGAAGAAAAGCTTTTTTTGTCCTAAAAATGTTAATGGGGTGCCAGTCATTTTCAAAAGAGGAAAAATTGCTAACAAGAAAATGGTGTTGCTTTAGTGTTAACCTAGAGGAAGAAAGAAGAAACAAAGTTCCCAGCAGAATGGATGGCATATGCTCAGCACGTGGATGTGTACTGCTCTCCTTCTTTTTACAGCCTCTCCATAGTCACGAAAAGGACAAAAATCAGAACTAAGACCAGGTCGGCTTGCAGAATCCAGTGGGACTTTGTTGTCCGTGTGATACCAGCTGACTGAAGAGGAATAGACAATTATCTAAAATTATGTAGGAGTAAGAATTCCCCCTGCTTCATAATAATACTTCCTCTGATCCCCTTACTATTTACTTTTTCCATCACCATAACAATCCACTCCCTGAATAAGCAGGATCATTCTCAGAGAAGTAGAAAGAGAAGAGCTGGAGGGGCTTTTGGGGGCTCCATCCTGCTCCTGTCTTCTTCTCGAGCCTTTGGCACTTGTTGCTTGCCAATTAACCATCTTCAGGGGACCCAACGACCAAGCAGGTATGTAAACCCATGCATCCAACTTCCAGGTTCCACACAACAAAGCCAGAGAGAAGCATTCACATGACAAACAGAAATGACGGGTGATCCTATCACTAGGCAAATACTTATAACAGTGATTTTTAACGTTGGTTATGGGAGCTTTTAAAAATCTCAAAGGCTACATATGGAATAATTAAAATTAGAATCTCGGGCATCCACATTTTAACCTTCTCTTTGAAAATTGAGGTACACTTTGCATACCTTTGAACACATCTTGATATGTTTTCACAAATGCATTCACCCATGTAACCCACAGCCTATCAAGATGTAGAACATTTCCATCACTTCAGAAAGTTCCTCTTGCCGCTTCATAATCATCCTCACCCTCAGTCTTCAGAGCTAACGATGCAACCATTGTTCTGATTTTTTTAACCTTAGATTAGATTTGCTTGTTCTAGAATTGCATGTAAATAGAATGATACAGTATGAGCTCTTATGTCTGACTTCCTTTACTTAGCATAATGCTTTTCAGAGTCATTCATGGTTTTTATGATAGAGATCATTCCTTTTTTATTGCTTAGTTGTATTCCATTGTAAGGATGTACACAATTTATTTATTCAGTTAGAAGTTGGTGGACATTTTTGTTTCTTCCAGTGTGTGGTGACTCTGAATAAAACCTCTGTAAACATTCACATACAAGTCTTCATAAGGAAATATGTTTTTATTTCTCTTGGCTCAATGCCCAGGAGTGAGATTACTGGGTTATGTGATAAGTGCATGTTTAACTTCATAAGAAACTTCCAAAACTATACCGTTTTACATTCCTACCAGCAAAGAATGTGAGTTTCAGTTGCTCCATGTCCTTGACAGCACTTGTTATTGTCATTTTATTATTTTAAATAAACTATTTTAGAACACTTTTAGATTTACAAAAAAATGACAAAGGTAGTAGCAAGAGTTCTCACATATCCTGCACCTAGATTCAATTGTTATTAACATCTTACATTAGTATGGTATATTTGTTACAATTAATGAACTATTATTGGTACATTCTTAACCAAAGCGCATTCTTTATTCAGGTTTCTTTACTTTTTACCTGATGTCCTTTTCGTGTTCAACATTTCACCTATGATGCAACATAATATCTAGTAATTGTGTCTCCTTAGACTTCTCTTGGCTATGACAGTTTCTCAAACTTTCCTTGTTTTTGATGACCTTAACGGTTTTGAGGAGTATTTATCAGGTATTTTGTAGAATGTACCTCAGTTGGATTTTTCTAATGTTTTTCTCATGATGATACTGGGGTTATGAGTTACGGGGAGGAAGACCATAGAGGTAACATGCTATTCTCATCACATCATACCAAGGGTACGTACCATCAACGTAATTCATGACTATTGATGATGACCTTGATCACCTAGCTGAGATACTAAGAAAACAAATCTGTTAATGTGCCCACATATTTGCCTTTTCAACTACTTTGCACTTCTTCTGCAGTGTCCAATCTGCTCTTATCCAATCTAGTGAATTTGTTAAAATTTCAGATAGTAAAATTTTAGTTCTAGAATTTCTATTTGGTTCTCTTTTTTTTTTTTTATCAGATGGGGGAATCTCATCAGAAAAATGGAAATGATAAAAATCCACAAACATATTGTGGATTTTTCACAAACTGTGAAATCCACAAACATATTGATAATAGCTATTTTAAATTCTTTGTCTACTAATTTCATTATCTGTATCATCCCTGGATCTGTTTTTACTGACTGTTCTTTCAACTAGTTGGCATGACTTTCCCTACATCTTTATATTTCTAGTAATTTTAATTTCTTTGCTGCACATTGTGGCTACCACATTGAGAGTCTGGACTGTGTTCACTTCCTCTGAAGAGTGTTGTAACTTTCTTTCTGGAAGGCAGTTCACTTTTTTCTAAAGATAATAAGACAGCCTTTCTGCAGTCTCAACTGAATGTCTAGGGTATTCAGTAAGGTGACTCTAATACGGTTAGTCAGAATTCTAACATCTGTCAGCACTGACACTACCAAAATCTCTGTTGAGCTCACCGTCCTCCAGTAGCTATTACTTGCCGGGTCTCTCAGAGTGTCACTCTGTGCATGTACAGTTTCAAACTCAGTGAAAGACTTCAGAGGACCCATGAAAATTTCACCCCAGTATTTTTTAAACTCCCTAAGTGATCCCAATGTATTGTCAAGGTTGAGAACTATTGAATATCAATTCCTGAACTGTAAAGGAACTGGGGGGAAAATGCCCTGGTACCAAAGACAATTCAGAATTCCTCTAGATAGGCTGGTCCTGGATAAAATCATAATGCATGTTGAAAAAAGCAGCTCTACACTAAAGTAACTCTCACCTGGTGACATAAAGGAATAGAATCTAAGATAAATCTGGAGACAACTTTACTTTACCTCCTGTTCTTTAAAATAATTGGCTATAATAACTCACTCCTACCGTATTTGAATAGTCCCCTTTAAGACTTTCCTATCACCTAAACTGAAAAAACTAAAGTGATACCTGGTCAAAAGGAGTTCCTGATGCAATAAAACCTGAAGGAAATTAAATCATCCCTTAATGAATTCATATCAGTTGTCAGGTTCCAAGTTCAAGGGAAATAAAGAGGAATAAGATGTCCTTCCTTCCCCAAAGTAGCTCCCAATCCAGTTGGAATTCCCAGTTTACATGGAGCTAAATGAAATAGATTTCACACTGTGATAGGTCCATGGTATGACAGAGATGCATTCAAAGTGCTTTTAGGAACGCAAGTATGCCTAACTTTGGATCCGAAAGGCCTCACAGAGGAATAGCTCTTTAACTAGGTCCTTTTAAGGGCAGGAAGAGTGAGGAAAGTGGTGAAGGTAAAGAAGATAAGGGGTATTCTAGGAATGAGAATATATGCAAGGGCTTTGAGTGGGGAAAATAAGTGGAACATTTGGGGGAATTTGAAATGTTCAGTGCGGAAAAAATGAGGAGTAGAAGATAGTTTACAGAACAACAGAAATAAGACGCCTTCACCCTACTCATCGGGTGAGATGAATCAAATTTAGAGAACAAAAAAGAACTTATAAACAGTTATTTGTTCCGGATTTGTAATAAATCACACCTTATTGAGGCTGCAGTGAATTCCTGGCATAAGTTCAACAATGGTGTGTAATAAGTAC
This sequence comes from Homo sapiens, assembly GCF_000001405.40. NCBI lineage: Eukaryota > Metazoa > Chordata > Mammalia > Primates > Hominidae > Homo > Homo sapiens. The sequence goes on along the minus strand of NC_000009.12, from coordinate 98,895,537 downwards.
AAGGGGATTTACATAGACAGTTTCTAGGGAACAGGAGATGTCTAACAATCTAAGTCTAATCTGAAGAATGCCACCTCACTAAAGCATTACATTTTAGCTCAAAACTTTGGAGAATGAACTTTCCATGTGGATTGTGATCCTCCTTATTGTTTTGTATATGCACAAACTGCAAAAAGTCCAAATAATTGTACTGGGAAGAGTAAGGATCAAAGACGCTTGGCCAAGCTTGGCCAAATGTGCTTTGGAAATCTCCCCTGCAGCTAGAAAACCTAAGTGTGAGCCCTGCAGCTGCCATTTACTGCCCATTATGCCCATGAGGAAGTCCTTTAATTCCTCTGAGCCGCAGTTCCATGAAATGGGCACATCAGTGCCCACCCACCCTGCTCTGTCTCACAAGATTGTCAGGAGAGATCAATGAGCTACTTTGTGTGGAGAAACTTTGTAAAGTTTAGAGCACAATACTGATGCAAGGGTTATTATTACTAATAATAAACAAGAAGAATGTGTGACAATGACCAGAATTTCCTGTTGAGACAACAATTTCATGAAACTATTAAGAAAGGTAGGATGTTTTTTCAATTCCACAATGAGAGTTATGCGCCAGTATTGTTTCAACATTCTCCAGGGAATAAAGGGTTTTGTGGCGATAAATAAGGAATGAGCCAGTTTGTCTGAAAGATTATTTTTCTCCTTAGAATCATTTCAATAGCTTTTTGTGCCTTCCCACGATTTTTCCAGCCAATCTGCCATGACAGATGAGAATTGGGTATAGGCAATATGATGTCTTCTTTTAAAGAATGTATCTTACTATATGCAAATACTCATAATTCAGGGCTGTGAGTTCCCTCCCCCAACCCCCAGGCAGCCCTCAGGCACAGTGCTGGGGCACAGAAGGACATCTGTCTCATCAATAACCTCAGGAGTTTCTTCCACTTACCTAGAAAAGAGGAAAATGTATTCTTGAAACCAAACCATTCTACAGGAATCCCTTTATTCCTCTCTATCAGCTTAGGACAAGAGGCTTTCGTGTAGATACCAGCTGGCATCTGTAAATTTGTCAAATGAATGTGGGCAAGACCCTCTGGAGGAGGCCTACTGCCCTTCATAAATGTAACACAAGGATTCTTTCTTGTTGGACTGAGGCCTGCTCGTGATTTTGATGACCTTTGGACTGTCAGCTTCATCTCATGTCATCAGATACAGCAGCCAACTGCCCTTCCTCATATCCTGCCACTAAGAGTTCTGATCCTCAGTGGTGACCCAATGCCTTCTTCTCCTAAATTTGTACTAAAATAACCAAACTACTGTAATAATGGGAAAAAGCAGCATTGTCGGTGAAAACCTGGAAAGGGTTCCCTCTTTTGCCAGAATTTTACAGCATTTCTTGTGTGTGTGTGTGTGTGTGTGTGTGTGTCTGTGTGTGTGTGTGAGAGAGAGAGAGAGAGAGAGACAGAGTCTCACTCTTGCCCAGGCTGGAGTGCAGTGGCGTGATCTCAGCTCACTGCAACCTCTGCCTCTCGGGTTCAACCCATTCTCCTGCCTCAGCCACCCAAGTAGCTGGGATTACAGGTGTCCGCCACCACGCCCGGCTAACTTTTTGTATTTGTCCAGGCTGGTCTCAAACTCCTGAGCTCAGACAATCCACCAGCCTCAGCCTCCCAAAGGGCTGAGATTACAGGCATGAGCCACCACGCCCAGCCAGGAATTTTAGAACATTTCTCAAATTTCAGTGTGCACATGAATTACCTGGGAATCTTGTTAAAATGCAGATTCAGTAGGTCTGGGGTGGAGGTCCAAGAATTTTCATTTCTAACAAACTCTCAGGTAATACCGCTGGTCCCTGGATCACACTTTGGAGAGCAAGAAATCAGAAGACAAACTTGAGCAATTTCCCCAGAACTCAGAAGAAATTATTAAGGAGACAAAAATGATGAAAGGAAGGTTGAGGAGAGAGCCAAGAGCTATAACGGAGCATCTATGTAAGGAAGTGAACAGAAGAGATACAGAAAAAAAGATTGGGGTTGTATGTATGTTTCAACTTTAGAAAAACCTTAGTATAATTCATTATCTCAATATAGCAAAGCAGAAATGCCATGTAATTATTTTGATAGATGACAAAAAAAATCTGAGAAAATTTAACATTTCATTATCACCATCATTGATGATGCATTTTCTTAAAGTGACAAATGTACTCTATGTAAAACCAAATCCAGCAAGAAGCTTATTGGCGAAATACCAGCAGCAGTCCTGTTTGCATCAGTAACCAAAAGAATGTCCATTGTTATCAGTGTTATTAACACCGTCCTGCAAATTCTAATTCAGACAACCAAATATAAAAATGAAATTAGGGGTGATTTAGTTGGGATTATGTTCAGCTTCATGTAATCATGGCTTAAACAAAATAGAAGTGTCTTCCACTCTCGCCTAAGTTAGAGGGAGCTTTTGTAGCTCAAGGACACCAAAGACCCAGGCCTTTGTGATTCTCTTTTCAGTCATCTCAGAGGTGGCTCTTGTCCTCGAGATCCAAGGTGGCAGTTAGAGCTGGTCTAAGGATGGTGTAGCTGTCATAAACATTTGGTGTCTCAGGCCTCATGAATATGTAGTGTTTCCTTGGTCCTCCCATCCCGTCTTGTCTCTGTTCAGCCCATGTAGGCTCGGCCAACTTTATCTATCACATGTTACACAGCTACTGGCTTCTAATTGTTTGCTAAGACAGAATTTAAAATTCTTAAATAATGCAGCAATGCACATTACACAAAAGAAGCATATTACATTAACAAAGCTAAGCTAGAATAATAAACACACGGCAATGACTAGGGATTTTTAATATGAGTGATAATATGAACTTATCCTAACAAATATTAAATTATATCATAAAGGGGCAAGAAATTTAACAGTATGTTAGCAGCTGAAGGAAAGACAGACCAATGCAGGAAAGAAAGTACATCAGTAATCTCAACTATATGTCAAAAGTAGGATATGGTAATGCTGTTGTTTCCAAGTCAATGAGGAAAAAATGTGTGGCAGTGCAGCTTGCTAACCACATGAGAAAAAATAAAAGTAGATACCTACCTCACACCACTCACACATTCCAGAAGAATTAAAGCTGTAAACATAAAAAGGAAACCATGAAAGTATGTTTTAAGTACACACGCAGGAAAATATGTACATGTATTTAAATAACATTGGGCAGGGAAAAGACTTTTAAACCTGCCAGCAAAGATGGAACAAAAAAATGAAACTATCAAAGATTTTATTCTTAATTTTAAAGGTCTGCATCTTTCTTAAAAGGCCAAAATTGAACTGGACTAATGAAGAAGAGAGGACCTGGAACAGACCTAGCTAGACTAGCCCAGCCCTTTATTCGTTCTACTAAGTAGAGGTTGGTAGATCACACCAAGCTCACATGTATGCTATTGGAAGGTTGATAGGCATATACACATTTTTTTCTAGTTTCCATGGCTTTATGGGTAAATATGCTCTAGAAAAGAATGATCAATTCTGTTGCTTCTGCTTCTAAGTCAGTGGAATGAAGAGCTATGTCCAAGGACACTCCAAGCAGTTCTTGAAAGAGACTGCTACTGTGTCCACCTATCATGCATAGACCCAGTCATAAGCACAAGATCTGTAGTCAACTGGTTCTTTGGGCTTAAACCATAGGCTGATTTCTTTTTTGTTGTTGTTTTTTGTTTGTTTGGTTGGTTTTTTTTAATATATATATACTTTAAGTTCTGGGATACATGTGCAGAACATGCACGTTTGTTATATAGGTGCCATGCTACCTGCCATGGTGGTTTGCTGCACCTATCAACCCATCATCTACATTAGGTATTTCTCCTAATGCTATCCCTTCCCTAGCCCCCCAGCCCCCGACAGGCCCCAGTGTGTGATGTTCCCCTCCGTGTCCATGTGTTCTCATTGTTCAACTCCCACTTATGAGTGAGAACATGCGGTGTTTGGTTTTCTGTTCTTGTGTTAGTTTGCTGAGAATGATGGTTTCCAGCTTCATCCATGTCCCTGCAAAGGACATGAACTCATCATTTTTTATGGCTGCATAGTATTCCATGGTGTATATGTGCCACATTTTCTTTATCCAGTCTATCATTGATGGACATTTGGGTTGGTTCCAAGTCTTTGATATTGTGAACAGTGCCACAATAAACATACGTGTGCATGTGTCTTTATAGTAAAATGATTTATAATCCTTTGGGTATATACCCAGTAATGGGATTGCTGGGTCAAATGGTATTTCTCATTCTAGATCATTGAGGAATCACCACACTGTCTTCCACAATGGTTGAACTAATTTACACTCCCACCAACAGTGTAAAAGCGTTCCTATTTCTCCACATCCACTCCAGCATCTGTTGTTTCAACCATAAGCTGACATCTTTGGTTTTTTTTTTGAGACTGAGTCTCGCTCTGTCACCCAGGCTGGAGTGCAGTGGCACAATCTTGGCTCACTGCAACCTCTGCCTCCCGGGTTCATGCCATTCTCCTGCCTCAGCCTCCCGAGTAGCTGGGACTATAGGCACCCGCCACTACGCCCAGCTAATTTTTTGTATTTTTAATAGAGACGGGATTTCACCGTGTTAGCTAGGATGGTCTTGATCTCCTGACCTCGTGATCCACCCTCCTTGGCCTCCCAAAGTGCTGGGATTACAGGTGTGAGCCACCATGCCCAGCCCGGCTGATTTCTTTTTCAGCACTTACTACTGAGCCATTGCCATGAATGATGCATCAGCCCACCTGACTAGAGAAGTCCCTGCAAATGGTGTGTGGCTTAGAATCCACTGGATTGGTCTCCCCCAGCATCACTCGGCCTGTCTTCACCGCATTCAGCCCCTCCCAGACCATGGCTAAGACAGGCCCTGAGTTCCTGTATTTTGCCAGCCTCGGGAAGAATGGGCAGTCTTTCCAGTGAAAGTAGTGCGGCTTCAGATGTTCTCAGAGGCCCAGAGGAACTTCCTGGCCACGAGGTGGAATCTCTTCTGCTCAAAGCACTTCACGATCTTGCCAGCCAGGCCATGCTGCACACTGTCTGGCTTGATGGTGATGAAGGTGCACTCAGGTTGGCCGTGGTCCAAGAAGCTGGTTGGGCCAGGTGGCACCTGCACTGTGCTGCAGGAGCCTGTAATTTTTAATTGTTCAGAAAAATATAGTCAGCACAAATGAACCTTAAAAGCGTTATGCAAAATGAAAGAAGCCAGACCCAGGAGGCTACGTGTTGTATGATTCCATTTATATGAAAAGTCCAGAATAAGCAAATCCACAGAGACAAAAGTAGTTGCCAAGGGCACAGGGGAGAGGGGAGTAGGAAGTGACTGCTAACATACACAAGAGATAGAGATATATATTTTTGAGACGGAGTCTTGCTCTGTCGCCAAGGCTGGAGTGCAGTGGCGCAATCTCGGCTCACTGCAACCTCTGCCTCCCGGGTTCAACTGATTCTCCTGCCTCAGCCTCCTGAGCAGCTGGGACTACAGGTGTGTACCACCACTCCCAGCTTTCGTGGGTGTGTGCGTGTGTGTGTGTATTTTTAGTAGACGGGGTTTCGCCATATTGGCCAGGCTGGTCTCAAACTCCTGACCTCGTGATCCACCCACCTCGGCCTCCCAAAGTGCTGGGCTTACAGGCGTGTGAGCCACTGCCCCTGGCCTCAATATATCTTTTGGAGTGATGAGACTATTCAGGAATTAGACAGCAGAGATGATTGCAGAACTTTGGGAATATGCTAAAAACCCTTGAATTAGATACTCGAACAGGGCAAATTTTACGGTGTGTGAATTACCTCTCAATTTTTTTCAAAAAAGTATGCGCTGCAAGTCACTTCTGAGAGTGGGTTTCAATTCTTCTCAACTGACCCTGCTGCTGTCTCTATAAAATAGTGAGTCAAAAGAACATTCAGGTTCTTAAAGCACAGTACCTGAGCAAGACCCAAGCAAGGAATCTTTATGTCCTGATGGCCAGGGTGGGCAGGCCAGGAACGCCCTTCCCGCCAATAGGATGCAGGTCCCAGACAGCAGACAGGGTCTCTCCCATTTGCATGAACTGCCCTGTACACTCACCGCCCAGGTTAGGTCTAGCCATGCATCCTCCAAACAACTCAAAAATGTCTGCTTTTAGTTTGCAATTTTGAGCAAATATGTGCTGAATCTCCAGTGGGTGGATTTGATCGTCTGTGGTTTCAGAGCATTTCTGAGCTTTTGGTTCCTAAACTATGAGCTTGACCTCATGAGGACTGGGATCCTCTCCCAGAACTCCCTCCACATCACTTTCCAGCAATTTGTTTCAGTTGGCCTTTCATTTATCTGATATCATAGAAGTGACAGACAGGGCATATCACAGCCGGAAGGAACTTACAGATTGATCAGTCCAACCTCCCCAACTCCAGCCTCCTATGATCCCCATTTAATGGATGAGGTTCAGAGAGAGGAAAGAGCCTCCCTACATCACCCGACAAATAAGTGAGGAAACTAAAATTAAATTTCTGTGTCCCAGTCCCCAAAGCACATGTGGTTTTTACATTCAATTATTTCTGTTGCAATATTGGCCTTAATACTGGCTTCCATTTCCAGTTAAATAATCTCTACACTGTGAACACCAAATGGACTGGCACAAGACCAGCACCAAGGCAAGGGTCTTAACCCTTTCAGGATGCTCCTGACAATATTACAATTGGAAAGCCATGCTCAGGCCAGACCCCTTGGGCCGGCACTTTCTCCAACTTACCTATGATTAAGTAAACTTAGCCTTGTTCACAGCAGCAGATGGAATAAGTAGAAGGAACCCAACTATTTGCAGAGCAAATTCTGTGGTCTCATAGAATATTATGCTGGAAAGGAAGCATCTCTCCTCACTATCAGTGCAGCAATTTATTCTATGATGTGAGATGTGCTTTCATTCATTCATTCAATCAACAAACACTTCCTAAACATCTACAATGTGCCTGGCCCTGTGCTGGACACTGGGACATGGAAATAAGTGAAGCATAAAACTTGCCTTCAAAGAGCTTCCAGCCTATTGGGAGATGTTCCTCTAATGACCAGCCCTGGCTGAGGGGAAGATGAGAGGCAGAGAGTTTATACAAAGCACGATGGAGACACAGGAGAGTCCATGATTCTGGTTTGGGGGTCAGGGAAGGCTTCACGGTGTTGATGACACACCATAAGCCAGATCTTGAATGTTTTCAGTGGCTGAGGAAAAGGGAAAGCTTTTTAGAGAAAAGGAACAACAGCACAGAACATGGAAGTGCATGGCACATTTGGAAAAGAGAGGAGACCAGAGTTTCTGGAACAAGGTGCCTGGAGCTATGCTACCTTGGTCCGTTCCCATTTGCATCTCCATCAGTAAAATACGGGGTTTTTTTGGAATGACGCCAGGGACTGTGCATTATCCCCTTTGGAATTTACAGCATCTGGCACAGTGCCCAGCACCTAGTCAGAGCTCAGCAAATTTTCTCTAAGTGAATGAATTTTCTCTAAGAGTTAACATGTACTAAGCATTGAGTACAGCCGGCCCTCCATATTGCAGGTTCTGCATCTGTGAATTCAACCAACTGTGGATTGAAAATATTATTCAGGGGGAAAAATGGATGGTGTCTTCTGTACTGAACATGTACAGACTCTTTTCCTTGTCATTATTTCCTAAACAATACAGTATAACAACTATTTACATAGCATTTACATTGTGTTTGCTATTATAAGCAATCTAGAGATGATTTAAAGTATCTGGGGGTTGTGCACATGTTCTATGCAAATATTACACCATTTTATACCAGGGACTTAAGCATCCTTAAATTTTGGTATCCTTGGAGGGGCCCTGGAACCAATGCCCCATGGATACTGAGGGACAAAGGTATATAGCGGACATTGTACTGAGTGCTTCACACATATCAAATAATGTAAAGCTCACAAACATCTTATGAATTTGGTATTATTAGTAATATTAATATCCCCCTCTAACAGATGAGATGGCAAAGACAGAGAGGTATAAAATAATTTGTCCAAAATCATACAACTAGGAAGAAGCCAATCTGGTCTTTAAGGCCAGATCTCTGCCGGGCTGCGAATGTACTCCCCTCCGTGTGCTGAATTTCTACCTTCCTACTATTCCGTAAGCTTCCTGGTGGCAGGGACAACATCTGTTTCTAGTCCCTGGAGTTCACTCTCATAAACACTTCTCTGTCACTGTAGTAGAGATGAACAATGGGAGAGGGGCAGCAGGGGGCCAGATGGTGAAGGGTCTTGACCACCAGCCTCAGGATTCTGAACTCAGTCTTAGAGATGACAGAACCTTTAGCATAAGCCACGAAATCTCTCAGGAGGTATGTGCCCAGCATCTTCTCAATCTTAGCACAGAAAGGAGCCTCTCAGTGGACTTTGAAGCTAGGACAGACTTGCTGGGAAGGGGAAAATTGTAACCCAAAGCTCCCTGTGCTCTGCGTCAAGATGGACACAGCCAGATATCAGGGAAGTGGTGAGTAGGGCAAAAGCCCCAATGGGTTAAGGCTTTCTCTGTGTGATAGTCTTAGACATCCGGCTCTTTTCTGCTCTAAATTTGGAACAACTAGATAGCCACTTCCTCCTAATCAAGATAAGCCCAGGGCCGAGGATCCATGCAATTGTGCTAGGTCATTTAATTGCCTTCCTCTTGGAAACCTTGAGCCAGTCATAGGGAAATTCTCTGACCGAGGCGAAGAATAAAGGTCAATGCCTTGTGGCATCCTGATGCCTTTTACAGACCCTGGAGCCACAGGAGAAATCAATTCCAGTCAAAGGAGTTGTGAAACTTTTTTTTTTAAGTGGAGCCAGTATTTTAAGATTTTCCAAGTCATGGAAAAATATACACTAAGAGCATGAAAACAACGCAAAGTGTCTCATGAAATCTAATCCTCATTGTTGTCCAGACAAAGCCAGGCCAATTTAATAAGGAGGTATGTTCTTTAACCTACCATAAAATGATCTATTATGAAGTATTAGTGGGAAAAATACTATTACAAGTTATTCCCATTTTTCCTAGCTGCTCACAATTTTGTTATAAACTATGCTTTCCTTTTCAAAGCTTTTTTTTTTCTGACTACAAAAGCAACACATATTCATTGTGGGCATTTTGGCAAATAAAGGGAACAAGAAATAAGTAAAATCACTGCAACCCACTATTAACAAGTGTGATTTGGGTTTTTTTCCCCCAAAATTAAGATTATACTGTATATAGAGTTTTAAATTGTTTTCACTTAGTATTTATCAATAGCATAATCCTATATGCCCAATATTCTTTGAATATGTTATTTTTATCAATTATATCAGATTTCTCAGTGTGGATGTGCCGTAATTAAGCTAGTCACCATCCTGTGGACACTTAGGTTGATTCCAGTTTTATGAGTGTAAAAATGAATGTGAGGAATGTCCTTATACAAATATCTTTGTTCTAATTTTTAAGAGTTTCCTTAGGAAGTGGAATTACTAAACAATGGGATATGAAAACTTAAGCTTCATGATGTATTGTCAAATTGTCTTACATTCATTCAACAAATTTTAATTGAATGCCCAAGTGCCAGGCATGGTTCTGGGCACTGGAGATCCAGGGGTGAACACAGAGACAAACTCTCTGCCCCAAAGGGCCATATTCAAATGGTGGTACTAACTTATTTTCCTACCAGCTGTGTATCAGAATGCCTGGGTTCTGATCTCCTCACCAGCATGATGACCTTTTAACAACGATAAATCTTGGGCTGGGAGCAGTGACTCACGCCAACAACTCAGGAGGCTGAGGCAGGAGCATTACTTGAAGCCAGGTGATAATGGTTTGGCTCTGTGTCCCCCACCAAATCTCATCTCGACTTGTAATCCTCACGTGTCAGAGGAGGGGCCTGGTGGGAGATGATTGGATCATGGGGGCAGTTTCCCCCATGATGTTCTCATGAGAGTGAGTGAGTTCTCATGAGAAATGATGGTTTTAAAGTGCGTCACCTCCCCCACTTGTTCTCTCTCTGTCTCTCTCTTCTGCCACTATGTAAAATATACCTTGCTTTCCCTTCACCTTCTGCCATGATTGTAAGTTTCCTGAGGCCTCCCTAGCCATGCAGAACTGTGAGTCAATTAAAACTCTTCTCTTTATAAATTACTCACCCTCAGGTAGTTATTTACAGCAGTGTGAAAACAGACTAATATGCCAGGAGTCCAAGACCAGCCTGGGAAACATAGGTAGACCCTGTCTCTAAAAAAATAAATAAATAAATAAATAAATAAAAATTACCTGGGCATGGTTGTATACACCTGTAGTCCCAGCTATTGGAAAATAAAGAGAAAGAGAAATAAGTAAAAGGCACTGCAAGCACCATGTCAGATATTGGTTATGAGATGCTTCTGGAGCTCCAGGGAATGTGGCCTCCCTGGTAAGGTGGCTCCCAGAGGAGACAGCTGTGAGCACCAGCAACCGACACTGCCACAGCTGGTGATAGAGAAGTCAGGCAGAGGGGACCCTGGCAGGGCATGTGTATCTTACCACATGTCAGAGGGACTGGAAGGCCAGAGGGGTAGGAGGAGCATGGGGAGGGATGGGGAGGGCAGTTTTGCAGTTAGCAGAGGTGTATGCGGCTTCAGCGTGGAAAATGGATGGGGGAGAGGGTAGAGATAAACCGCAGGGGTCCAGGAAAGATCAAGTAATTTTAGGGTATGGCAAACACACAACCCCTTACTTTGGCAAGTCACCATGACCATTCTTAGCAGATCAGAAGGTCTGAGAAATTCTACAATATGAAAACTCGTCTAACCTTGTTCAAATCCACATTTCCCGGGAAATAACAGAGGAAGAGAAGAACAGAAATGGCATCATGACAGTCTAAAGGATTAACTCCAGGTAAGAGAAAAAGGCCTGGACGCTGCCGGTCCAGACTTGCAGAGAAGCGGGAGTATTGAAAACATATTCAGGAATTAAAAACGACAGGGTTTAATTGAAGACTGGATATGAAACTGGAGCAAGGGAATGTCAAGGACAACTCTGGAGTTTCTAATTTGAGCATCTGCATAGTGACGCGTTATTCTTGGAGAAGGATTGAGTCTGAGGTCAAATGAGAGGTAGAGGGGAGAAAACTCCAGCAAAATGTGGAACAGTGGAAAAAGGCCTGGGCTAAAGACTTGGGTTCTCAATCCAGTGATACCAACAAGTGATTGTACAAGCCTGAGCAGGTCCCTTCCACCCACTGAACTTCGGCTTCCTCACCTGAAAAATGAAGATGATAAGTCATATTCTAACGAGCACACATTGTTGTCATTTTGATCAAATAAAATAATATAAATGAAAGTGTGTCCCAAAGTGTAGAATGCAACCAAAATACAAGAGGATTATTATGATTATTGCTAGCAGTCCTTTGAGGACACTTAATTTATGACTCCCCAAGGAATCAAGTCAGAGCATAACATGAGGTCAACACACCTAGGGACATAAATGTCAGAAGTGGCTTGTTATAAAACTAATTGCTATTTCGTGGATTCACTTATAATGATCCCAGCAACATTTTTCCAGGCAGAACAATTTTTTTTCTCTGTCATCAGGTCTCTCCCTCTTCCCACCCATAATCAATCAGGGCTTTCAACTAGGGTCACCCCTACCCTATCAAAACCTGCTCTCAAGGAATTATCCATTGACTGGCACTAAAGAAAAAGTTCCAATAAAGCTTGAAATGCTTCCTTCCCAGGGTTGCTTGCCACTCTTCAACCAAGGATCAAATCCTCTGCCAAAGGAGAGGATGTCTCATGGGGTATTGGGGACACAAGGATCACATTCAAAGCGGTACTGAAAGGAGGTTGTCTCATGGAGGGTTGGGAGCACGAGGATCACACTCAAAGAGGTGCTGAAAGGAGGGTGTCTCATGGGCAGTTGGGGGCACAAGGAAACACTCAAAGAGGTATTGAAATGAGGGTGTCTCATGGGGTGTTGGGGGCATGAGGAGCACACACTGAAAGAAGTCCTGAGAGTGAAACGAGCCAGTCACACAAGAATAAACATCATATGATTCCACTTACAGGAGGTCTCTAGAGAAGTCAGATTCATAGAGTCAGAAATTAGAATGGTGATTTCCAGGGCCTTGGAGGAAGGAATGGGAAGCTGTTGTTTCATGGGTACAGAGTTTCAGTTTTGCAAGATAAAAAGTTTTCTGGAAAATTCTGGATGGTGGTAATGGTTGCACAACAAACAACATGTGTGTACTTAACACACTGAAGTATACTCTTAAAATAATTAAGATGGTAAATTTTATACATATGTTAGTAGAATTACTCATGATGATGATGATGATGATGATGATAAATAGTATCAAAGAAGTTCAGATTCAGGGTGCTTGTCTTGGTGCTCTAGAAATCACCCCACAGAGGGAGCCTGTTATACACACACTTGTGCTCACTTGTACACACACACTTGCACATGTACAGACACACACAGCCCTGCCCAACCTTCTTCTGTCAGCTAGGCAAGGAGAGCTGAGCCCAGTTATTTGGGCCAGTTTAGGGTTCACTCTGGAACTTTTAATAGTCAAAGAAATCTTTGTTCTCACTGTGCGACCATTTCTCATCCCAGTTAGCTCTTACATAAGACATATTTCGGATCTGATATATTGGGGAGAAAAAAAACATTACCCATTTTACTCATTTTGAATAAACTAAAAATAACTATCTTTCCCATTTCCTGGAGTCAATAACGACTGTTTAGAAAGGACAGGGGAAAGAAAGACATGGAATATGGGGAAAAAGCCATGGGCTGAGCATACAGGAGCCTGCTTCAAAACCTGTCTTTCCCCCTCATCTGCTGTGTGACCTTGGGCACATCCCTGACCCTCTCTGGGCCTCAGGCACCTCGTCTATGGAATGAGAGGGCTGTGTTGGAATCCTCTGGCCTTTGAGGTCCCTTCAATTCTCATAGTCTAGTTTTTGGTGAGAAGTAGGACTAGGGGTTGAGGCATCTTATTTTGCTGGCCATCTAGTAGATGAATCATTTTTATTATTCCAAAAATTTTCCAAATGAATTTTGATGTGATCCTTCTTGGTAAGAAACAGCTAATGACATCTCTCCTCCCATTCCTGGTCTAGTGTCTAGAAATAGTCTCCGTGAGTAATTTCTACTCACAATTCCCACTTCCTTGACTCCTGCTCCCTCCCCTGCAGTCTGGTTTCCGACTCCCCAGTCCTTTAAAACTGTTCTTGTCAAGGTCACCATAACCTCCTGTGACTGAGTCCAATAGACATACCTCAGTCCTTTTCTTCCTTGGCCTTTCAGGAACATCTCAACACAGGTGAACACCTTCTCTTTCTTGAGATACTCTCCTCTGTGGGGCTGAGAGGGAAAATAGCCTGCCCTCCTGGAGTCCCCAGGGTCACCACTAGGATTTGAGTGCCCACCATGTTAGTGCCAAAGTCTGTAACTAGTACAACATGATTTGCGGCCACTTGCCTTCCTGTTGCGCTCACATTGCCACCAAATTCTAGATTCACTGGGTGATTCATTTCTTCAGTCATTCAACAACGATTTGTCCAGAGCCAACTATTTCCCAGGCACTATGTGAGGCAATGGGAATACGGTAAGGCCAGCATGGCCTCTGCCCTCCTGGCATTTATAATCCATTGCAAGAGCCAGGCATCAAATGGGAGAGGACGAGACCCATGTATAACTACAAATATGATGAGTTCTCCAAAGAAAAAGCACCCGGGGCTCTGAAAGATGAGATGGGGGACAGACAAGGCATCAGGATGGAGAGTGACAGGACACCAAGATCTGAAAGAGGGGAGGCAGCCAGCAGGAGCAGTGGGTGGGGAGGGCGGGAGTGCAGCAGGCACAGGGGACTGCCAGCACCTTGAACGGGGGACCTGGATGGCTCAACATCATCACACACCAATAGCACCCTGAATTTCTGAGATGGAGGGTTTGGGAGATGCACATGAAGATGCTGGAGGAGCTAAACCCCCACCCTGCCCTCCCATCCTCACCCACTGGGGCTGCTTCTTGTCACCCTTGGACAATGCAAGCTCCAGAAGAGGCTGTAGTTTGGACTGCTGAAGGGTCTGAAAGGGGTCAGGGTGAGTGAGAGGACACAGTAAGGTGGGGTGCAGGAAGAGGACAACCCAACGAGTCATCCAGTTATGCTTTGGAAAAAACAGTCCACTGATCTGTGGAGACTGGGGGCAAGGGGTGGGAGGAAGGGTAAATCATGGATGCCTCTTCTTTTGTTAAAAAAATTATTTTTTTTTGAGATGGAGTCTTGCTCCGTTGCCCAGGCTGGAGTGCAGTGGCATGATCTTGGTTCACTGCAACCTTGCCTCTCGAGTTCAAGCAATTCTCCCGCCTCAGCCTCCCAAGTAGCTGGGATTACAGGTGCGTGCCACCACACCCGACTAATTTTTGTATTTTTAGTAGAGATGGGGTTTCACCATGTTAGCCAGGCTGGTCTCAAACTCCCGACCTCAGGTGATCCACCCGCCTCGGTCTCCCATATGTTTTGTTTTACTTATTTATTTTGTTAACTTTTATTTTAGGGTCAGGGGTATATATGCAGGTTTGTTATATAGGTAAATTGAGTGTCACAGGGGGTTGCTGTACAGATTATTTTGCCACCAAGACAATGAGCATAGCACCCAACTCACCCTCCTCCCATCCACTACCTTCAAGTAGGCTCCTGTGCCTGTTGTTCCCCTCCTCGGGGCCACGTGTCCTTGATGTTTAGCTCCCACTTACAAGTGAGAGCATGTGGTATTTGCTCTACTGTTCCTGCTTTAGTTTTCTTAGGATAGTGGAGGGCCAATTCTTTTGTGCTGACCTTGCTTGGTTCCAACAGGCATAGAATTATAAATATTTTGCCAAGAGGGAGAACACAAAATGCTTTTCCTCAGCATCGTTGTTGAGAGTGGGCTCTCCTGGCCTCATCACTAAGCCCTCGAGGCCCTTCAAGATGACCTGATCCCATGTCCTCCATGCACAGATGAGGACAGAACACCGCAGCTGGGGAGGTTCAGGACCTCCCCACGGCCACGCAGCTGCCAACTGGCCCAGGCAGAACACAAGTCTGCATGACTCCAAAGTCCACAGCTGTTCACACATCACCTTAGATGCCACCTGGGCCAGCCTGCTCTGTTTTACAGATGAGGAAACTGAGCCTCAAAGAGAGGGAGCCACTTTCTCCAGGAACAGACCTCCATCTCTGGAGGCTCAGCTCTGCTCCTTCTGCTCCAAGCTGCCTCCTTGTAGGTGGCAGAAGAGAAAGTGTCCCCTAAATAAATGCCATGAGCATGCAGCTGTGAACAAAACAATGTCCCCGAGCTGGGTGTCCAACGTCCCAAGGCCATGTGAGGAAAGAGGTTGTTGCCTTTCCGAGAAGGGGGCAGCTGCTGTGGAGCTGGAGCATTGCTCGGCCTCCAGCCTCTCCCAGGAACATAAAACTCAGGAACGAAGGAACGTTGGGCAGGAGCCCATGGGAATGAGGCCCACATTCCCCTCTCCAGGGGCTGCCTTGGCCGCTGATTATGCTCCCAACAAAATCCTTGCTGAACATCTGTATCGTGCAGGGAACTGATGCCTGGCCTCCCCTGCCATAAGGGGCTCGGCACAAGACCCCAATTCTGGGGCTGTCACCTCTGACCCCACAGAGACCCTGACTCTCAGCGGCCATATTCTGACCCTGAAAATCTGGAGTGAGTTAGGGAGAATTTAGACAGATGTGGCTCCTTCCAGTTTCCTGTGGAAATTAAGTGAAACCAGGAGGCATCTCATTCAGGGGAAAAGATGAGAGATGTGAGGAAAACAGAGGAAATAAATACATGAGGTGTTTGTTTGCAAAGCAGTTGTTTCTTCCATGCTCAGCACTCCTCAGAAGGGAGCTGACTTCTGGCAGGGCACTTTGCTGCAAAGCAAGTCCCTGATCAGCTGTCTTCCACCCCTCACTCCCACCACAAAGAGCCCACAGCTCTTTGCGCTCAATGCTCCTGCACACTTCTAGTACTTTGCACAAGCTATTTCCTCTGCTTGGAATGCTGTTCCCTCTCTTCTCTTTCTGGAGAACCTCTATGCAGCCCACATGGATCAACTCAAGACGTAATCCTCTGACTCCCTTCCTCCCACCTTTCCAAGCAAAAGAGGTGGCTGCTTCTTTGAGTCCACCCATCACCCTGTAAACCCCTCCATGGTGATCTTGTCACATGGACTTGAGGGCATGTCTACATGCCCTCTGTCTCCCTTGCTAGTCTACAGCAGACAGTGTGTCTTAATCATCTCTGTATCCACAGTGCCTGGCAGAAAGCCTGGTACAGAAAATGAACTCAATAAGCGTTCAAAGTTTGGATAGAAGGAGAGGGGAGAAATGGCAGGAGGGAAGGAAAGAAGCAGAAGTAAAGAAAAAAAAAATTGGCTTTAGAGTATTTGCAAGTCCCTCTCTTCTTCCCTATTGATTTGAGCCTGTATCTGCCTCTTCTAAATAAAATGCCTCAAAAAAACTCATTGATTAGGCTGTGACAAGGCTCAGCTGAGCAACACATATAACACGGCGTATGCAGAATAGGAGTTCATCTCTCACTCACATGAAAGTCCTTCTGGCCAGATGTGGTGGCTCATGCCTGAAATCCTAGCACTTTGGGAGGTCAAGGTGGGCGGATCATGAGGTCAGGAGTTTGACAGCAGACTGACCAACATGGTGAAACCTCGTGTCTACCAAAAATACAAAAATTAGCCGGGCGTGGTGATGCGCGCCTGTAATCCCAGCTACTCTGGAGGCTGAGGCAGGAGAATTGCTTGAACTCGGGAGGCGGAGGTTCCAGTGAGCTGAGACTGCACCACTGCACTCCAGCCTGGGTGACACAAAGAGACTCCATCTCAAAAAAAAAAAGAAAAAAAGAAAGTCTTTCTGAGGAGGCTGAGGCAGCTCTTTGAAGTCATCAGGGGCCCAGGCTGCTTCTGTCTTATTGCTCTGCCATCCCAAGGGGCTGTACTCATCCAGGTATCCCAGATAGCGCCCCACACATCTATGCTCCATCCACGGAGCAGGTAACGAAAGAGGACACACTCCTCTCTTCAAAGGCACAACTGGAAATTGAGTACAAGAGTCCCTCTTATCTGTGGGGGATGCGTTCCAAGACCCCCAGTGAATGCCTGAAACTGCAGATAGTACCAAACCTATATACACTATGTTTTTCCTATACATACATACCTATGATAAAGTTTAATTTATAAATGAGGCACCGTGAAAGACTAGCAATGTAACTAATAAAATAGAACAATTATAATAATACACAGTAATAAAAAAATATGTGAACGTGACTTCCCTCTCTCTCTCTCGCTCTCTCTCTCTCTCTCTCTCTCTCTCTCTCCCCAAATCACTTACCGTTCTGGACTTTGGGTAACAGAAACTGTGGGAAGTGTGGATAAGCAGAGACTATTGCACGCTGCTTGCCCAGTCCTTCCATGTAGCGCAAGACAGGCTGGGAATTATGGTCTCATGCTGAGCATCTGCACACCAAGGTGAAAGTTTTATTTCCATGTAAAAGGGATGAAATGGATTTTGGAAACAACCAGAAATCTTTTCCAAAACAACAACACACAGAAAGAGAATACCCTTCCAAGCCCCAACATTGACCTTATACATTTCACCATCCCAACAAATCTGTGAGGAAACTGAAGCTCAGGGTGGAAATGCCTTTGGCTGAGGGCACTATGAGCAGTAAAGGAGCATGATTGAAAACCAAATATCTGGTATAAACTGGGATTTCCATCTAAAACCTCACAAATACTACAAAGAGGAAAGGGGAGATGTGACTGCACAGCTGTTTACAGGGAGACAATCTGGGAGTCTGAGTTGACCCCCAGCTCAGTGTATCTGCTGTGTTATGTTTGTCTCCAGAGCTACATTAATGGGGGCCAACATCCAGAACAAACGGGATGAGCGATCTGCTCTCCTTGGGCTGGCCAGACTGCACCTGGAATTCTGTGTTTTGGGGGCCAGCCCTTAATGAGAACAATGAGAAACAGGAATGGGCCTGGGGCCAAGACAGGCTGGGAAGGGTCTGGATGCCCGCCCTGCGAAGAAAGAGCCACAGCTGAACACCATGGAGAGGGGCGAACTCCAGGGGATGTAGATCCTTAGCTTCTCATCTGTGTCACAGAGAGGACATGGTGACCTCATTCCAGGTGGCTCTGAGGAGCAGAACAATGACCCATGGAAAGAAGCCACTGGGAGGCAGAGTCGGCTCCAATAAAAAGAGGTAACTGGGGTGGTGCACCGAAGCCCCGGGCAGGCACGGCAGAAAGTAAGAACTCATCCCCCAGGGTGTGCACCAAGGGCGGAGGTGCTGTAGAGCCTTCTAAGGCAGAATCTTGCACCTGGAGGCTCCTGCAGCTGAGAATGGTCAGGTGTGTCTATGTGTGTGTGCACACAGGTGTGCTCTCCTAGTGACAGGGGCCATGGCTCCCTTGAGGCTCTCCAAGGAGTTTGTGACTCAAACCAGGGTCAATGGACTGGCCCACTGGGTCCTTCCAGGGCCCCTGCCTGCTTTAAAATCCCATGACCAGGCCGGTCGCCATGGCTCATGCTTATAATCCTAGCACTTTGGGAGGCAGAGGTGGATGGATCACTTGAAGCCAGGAGTTCGAGACTAGCCTGGCTAACATGGTGAAACCCCATCTCTAGTAAAAAAAAAAATACAAAAATTAGCCAGGTGTGGTGGCATGCACCTGTAATCCTAGCTACTCGAGAGGCTGAGCCAGGAGAATCACTTGCACCTGGGAGGCAGAGGTTGCAGTGAGCCAAGATAGCACCAGTGCACTCCAGCCTGGATGACAGAGTGAGACTCTGTCTCAAAAAAAAAAAAAAAAAAAAAATCCCATGACTGCCAGTGTAGACGCACAAGTGTCCCGATGATGAAGAATAGGTAAAGAGAGCTCAGAGTGGCAGAAGGAAACTGGGGGCTTACCGGGACTGAAAATGGCTCTGTGAGCTCCACTCCCCAGAGCAGAGTGTGCCCCAAAATCCAACCGCAGGAACCACCCACTTGGCAAGCTTGGAGCATATGCTCCTCCCCTTGCTGAGGCTGGAGTATCTCCAGAACCCCATCTGCAAAGGGTCCAGGGGTTCCACATTCATCACACACCAGCCTTGGTGCCTGGTATGGGTGTGGCCTTTCTCCAGGACACCCCACCAGCCAGCAGGTGTCTTTTTGTTTTTCACCACTTCTTTTTGTCTTCTACAATTAGAGACCCTCTAATGGCCAGGCACCGTGGCTCACACCTGTAATCCCAGCACTTTGGGAGGTCAAGGCGGGTGGATCACCTGAGGTCAGGAGTTCAAGACCAGCCTGACCAACATGGTGAAACCCCATCTCTACTGAAAATACAAAAATTAGCCAAGTGTGGTGGTGCATGCCTATAATCCCAACTACTTGGGAGGCTGAGGCAGGAGAATCGCTTGAACTCGGGAGACGGAGTTTTCACTGAGCCAAGATTGCGCCATTGCACTCCAGCCTGGGCAATAGAGTGAGACTCCATCTCAAAAAAGAAAACAAAAAGACCCTCTAGTTTATTTGATGGCAATGCAGAATGACTTGTAAACCACTGTTCCCAAGCAGCAAGGCAAGGAGGTAGACAAGGAGGGGTGAAAATGGACCACAAACACCTGAGTCCTGGCCCCATCCCTGAATGACCTGGAGCATCCTCTCTTTCCTCACTGGGTCTCAGGTTCCACACCTGTGAGTGTGATGAGGAGCAGACTCTGTGGGGAAGCCGTGCCATGATGTATGTGTGTGCCTAGCCCAGTGCCTGGCACACAGAGGGACCTCAACAGTGTTTGTGGCTCACTTTGTACCTCTCAGGGCTGTTTGGGGATTAAGTGAAAAAAATAAGCAGAGCACCTGGCTCCAAGCCTGGCACATAGTGAACGCTTGATGACTTCCATTTTGTGCCCCTCCTGTGCACACCCGTGCCATGGGCTGAATCACGTCCCTCCCTGAATTCATACATTGACGTCCTAACCCACAGTACCTCAGAATGTGGCTGTATTTGGATACATGGTCTTTAAAGAGGTCATTAAGTTTGAGTGAGTTCATTGGGGTACCCTAACCCAATCTGACGGGTGGTGTCCTCATAAGAAAAGGAGATTAAGACACAGAGAAGCACAGAGTGAATGCCATGTGAACACAGAGACAGAAGGCGGCCACCTACAAGCCACGGAGAGAGGCCTCAGAGGAAGCCATCCCAGGGCACACCTTGATCTGGGAATTCTTGCCTCCAGAATTGCAAGAAAATCAGTTTCTGTTGTTTAAGCCACCCAGCCTGGAGTACTTGTCATGGCAGCTGGAGCAAATGTGGACACCCTGAACTTCTCCAGCTCTGTGCCTTTATCCACCCCGCAATGCTGTCCTGCCCAGTCCTGAGGCCCAAGGCATGCCCTGGAGGGAGCCTTAATGAGCCTTCATCAGAACTTCTCAGACCTTAATGAGCCTGAGAATCACCCAGGAGCTTGTTAAAATGCAGATTCTGCTTCAGTAGGTCTGAGTGGGGCCTGAGAGTCTGCATTTCTAACACGCTCCAAGGGAATGCCAGGGCTGCTGGTCCATGACCCACACTATGAGTAGCATGGTGCCAGATGGTGGGGGGGGCGTTAAGCCAGATGGGTGAGTGATGATGGGAAGTCCAGTGCTCCCTGAGTCGTGGGTGCTGATCGCAGCTCTAGCTCTTTCCACCCCTCAAAGTACAGGAGCTGGAAGAGGAGAAAGGAGGTGGCAACATGGGGCAGCTTTGGGTGACCTTCTCAGGGGAAATAACCACTTGTGAGCCCAGAGAAGCTCCCCTGGAGGACCACCTGCTTCTGCTGTCAGCGGGAAGTCACCTCCAAGCTCCTCTGGTCCTTTAGTCCATCACTTTCTTGACATGGATGGGGAGACTGAGACCAAGATTGGCTACATAACTTTTGGGGGTTGTGCAAAATGAAAACTGGAGGCATCTATTTCAAAAACTATGAAGAATTTCAAGATGGTAACAGTAGAGCATTATACCAAGCATGGGGCCCGTCTAGGCATGGGGCCTTGTGCTCAGGTGGCACACCTGTGAGGTAAGTCTAAGGCAGAGATGGCTTCCCAGTGAGCCAGAGCTCACCCAGCCTAACCTCAGGCCTCCTGAGTCCCGTCACTCCTCTTTCTATCAGTGCACCCCCTCACCCTTGCCCTCCGAACTTGTCTGCCTCCAGGGATCTAGCTGCAGCCAGGCAGGGAGGCGCTGGGGCAAGGAGGGAGTCCAAGACTTGGCAGGCTCCTTCCACCCCAAGCTTAGGAGGCCTGACCTCCTGGCTGCCTTCCCAGACCCACAGATTCCTCTGGCTCTGTGGGCCCAGCTCATCTGAGTAATTCTCTGCCACTTCCAGCTGATGGCACAGGGGTGGGAGATGGCACCCAGAAGGAGGAAGGGGCCCCAGACACAAGATATGCTGACCTCACGATTTAACACCCACTCTGCCCAGGCCACTGGCAACTGATGACAGTTGCTATTGCCTGATTGGCATGCATCTTCTCTTTCCTGCTTCACTGAGCCACTTCTCCCCATGCCTAGTTCAGGTAGTGCTATGTCCGTCCCTGCTCCAAAGGTGGGCATGGAATTCAGGTCCCTCTAATGCCCCTCTCCACAGTGGTACATCAGAGATAGGCCCTTGATCCAAGAGAATCTAGCAAAACTCAATACCTGAACTTTCACTGAAAATATTGAGATTGCTAGCTGTAAGAATGACGGAAGCCTGGAGCTTCCTGGAGTCCCTTCAGGGAGTAAGGAAGGCTTGCCTCAGAATGAAGCCAGCAGAAGGAAGCAGAGAAAAAAAAAAAAAAGCCCTAGGATAGATATTGTTGGAATCCTGGATCCAGCTGTGCCTGAAGTCCCTGACTTCTTAGTTCTGTGTGCCAATAAATTCCATTTTTGCTTACAGCTGGAGTTGAGATTTTGTCAGCAGCCATCAAAAGAATGCAGCATGGAAGTGTGATGGCTCACGCCTATAATCCCAGCACTTTGGGAGGCCGAGGCAGGTGGATCACCTGAGGTCACAGTTCGAAACCAGTCTGACCAACATGGTGAAACCCTGTCTCTACTAAAATACAAAAAATTAGCCGGGCATGGTGGTGGGCACATGTAGTTTCAGCTACTAGGGACGTTGAAGCAGGAGAATCGCTTGAACCCAGGAGGTAGAGGTTGCAGTGAGTTGAGATCACCCCATTGCACTCCAGCCTGGGCAACAAGAGCGAAACTCCGTCTCAAAAAAAAAAGGCAGCTTGGAATGTGTGCTCAGAGGTATCCAAGCTTGTCCATTCACACTTGTAATCCATAATGACCATGGATTCCCCAGATCTGGGAGACCTCACAACACAGTGGGAGTGGTGAACATGAGAAGAGTTGAGATCGTGAGTCACTGTTGGGCGTCCTGGCCTCCCTTCGAAGAGCACTCCTGGGTCTAGAAAGCCCCTTTTTCTTTGATCCATACAACAGCTCTACAAGGCAGGCAGGTCAGGGACTATAACTGATAGGCCAAAAGGGAAACTGAGGCTCAGATAAGGGAAATGAGTTGCTCAAAGTCATACTGGTAGTCAGTGGCAGAGCTGGGTGGAATTAACACTCACGAGCACCTGATTCTGTCTAGATAGCTCGCCTCTGTGCCACCAGAGCAGTCTGTACTCGGCTCAAGATGTATCTACAGAGTAAAGAAAAGTCCTCCACAGAGTTCACTTTGTTTTTGTTTTTTGTTTGTTTGTTTTGTTTTGAGGCAGAGTCTCACTCTGTCATCCAGGCTGGAGTGTAGTGGCGCGACCTTGGCTCACTGCAGCCTCCACCTCCCAAGTTCAAGTGATTCCCCTGCCTCAGCCTCCCTAGGAGCTGGGATTATAGGCACCCACCATCACGCCTGGCTAATTTTTGTCTTTTTAGTAGAGATGGAGTTTCACCATGTTGGCCAGGCTGGTCTTGAACTCTGTGAGTTCAAGTGATCCACCCGCCTCGGCCTCCCAAAGTGCTGGGATTACAGGTGTGAGCCAGCCAGAGTTCCGCTTGACTGTGACCTCACAATATGTTTTGGTAGTTCTTTCCCCTTTCCCATTCACTACAGCTTCCTTCCAAGCCAAAGGCCTTCCCTCCCAGCAGCAAAAGCAGTCAGAGGACGATGTTCCCTAGTCTAATCTGCTCTTTCCTTCCTTCATTCATTCAATCAATCATTCACGCAGCTGGCCAGCAGACACTGGATGACCACCCCTGGGCCAGGCCTTGTGGCAAATGCTACAGTAATGACCAGACACATCACACCCGCCTTCTAGAAGCCCTCCCTCACAAACCGGATCAACTGCTATGATAAAGGTAAGACAAGGAACAGTGTTGAGGAAGGCAGGAATAAACAACTACAGCAGGGTGGTCAGAGAAGGCTACACAGAGTTGATTGCACTGGACATCAGAGGTTGAGGAAGAATGTTCTTGGAAGAAAAGGTAGGAAGATCATGTCTTCCAGTGGAGGTGTGAGACAGCCTCGTCCATTCAGGGATGTGCAGGCGGAACAGGCATCTTCTTCCAGGGGGTGAGAGGTGGCAGGAGGTGAGACCACAGCCTCAGTCAGGGGCCAGGTCAAGGAGGACCTGCCAGCGGAGCTTGGGAGGTGATAAGGCACTGTACCATGGTTAGGTTTGCTCTTAGAAAGGCTACGCTGCTGGATGGGGAGGAGGAGAGATTGAAACGGCAAGTTTGAAGAGGAGGCCACTTGATGGTCACTGGCCATGGCTCAGGCAAAAGAGGACACAGGCCCGAACAGAGGCAATAGCAGTGGGGATGGCAGGGAGGGGACTGCCTAAAGGATTGAGAGCTTTTTGGTATTCCTTAGACGTGGGGAGTGAGTCGACAGGTGGGTCCCAGGTTTCTGGCTTAACTGGCTGAATCAGTGGTGTAGTCCTACAGTGAGAAGGGTGTAGCAGAACACTTTCGGTTGAAAATGTCTGAAAAACTAGTCAAACTGACCTTTAAAAAAAGGGAAGAGGAGTGCAGTGTTCATATAACTGAACAGTATGAGGGTCATATGATCAGCATTTCCTCCCCCCATCTCCCGACTCAAGTACTTTGTGCTGACTCCATTCTTGACAGCTCGTCCCATATCTTTTCAAGATGGCTGCCAGCACCTCTCTGAACTACATCCCTCCAGGTTTAAATTCAACAAAAACACACAAGAGCTTGTGTCCAAGCATTCCCATGAATAGTCTGAGATTTGCCCTGATTGGACCAGCTTTGGTCACATGCTCACCTCCAGCCAATCACTATGGCTTTGCTAATTGACTTAGACCTAATCCATGAGCTCCACCCCTTAAGCTTTGGTGGAGCCATAGAAACTGTAGGGACTAAGAGGCAAAGGAGTGGACCCCAAAGAAATACTCAGGCTCTTGCTAGGACAAAGGGAAAGAAATAGATGCCAGTGAGATAGACCAGATTTTTTCAGCTTTGTGGGCAGCACGAGAGAAAGAATAGTAGGTTAGGGGAGGACAAGATGACGAGTCCAGATTAGAAGGTGTTGTGTTTGCAGGCTCTGTGGTGCAAGCAGAGGAGATGGTCAGCAGGCAGTCGGGTAGAGAGAGACCCATGCTGGAGAGGGATCTGGAATTGCCAGTGTGTAGGTGGTGAGTGAGAAGCTGAAGAAGACAATAATGATGCAGACTTTGGAAACCATTCTGGACTCCCTGCTTCAGGAACTGCAAGTTTGATCTAGTAAAAGTCTCTTGCTTTCTTTGCTCTTTAGGATTAGGCAGTGGAACAGTCCTTGTGATCCTGAAGTTAGCAACGCCCTAGCCTCCTTCTTTCAACACCAGCTCTCACTTCTTGTCTTAGATTGCTTTGCACCTTCCTGTCCCTTAATTGATGTCAGGACCTGAATATATTTGATAGTGATTTGAAGCACTGATGCTACAAATGAAAGAGATTGATGCTGGGCCCTGGGACCAGGACATGTGACAGAGCCAGAGTCCTTCAGGGCTGATGGGCATGTGCTAGGACTGACACAGGCTAGCATCTCCCGAGAAGACGTAAGGACAAGCAACTCCAAATGGGGATGACATTGATGACTCTTCCACCTCTCCTGGTAACCTTCCCATGCCCATCATGTCGTTGCACCTCTGACAGTACTAGGAGAGGTGCCAAAATGAGGGACAGTACTTGGGAGGACACCAAAATGGGGGAAAGTTTGTGAAATGTTGCAATGGGAGAAAGGAACTCAGTGGCCCATGTAAATCTTGGATATGTTTGAGATGTGGCATTGCCTGTCTCTGTGTCTTCACAAGGATAATAAGCTTCTCCAGTGTTACTGTAAGCCAGTGTGATCCCTATCTTCATTAATTTTTGCCTGGAAACTCCTGGCCCATGACTATTGTAAAAAGTCCTGGCAAAGTGTGCCTAGCCAACATCCACTCTCCTCTACTTCCTTACTATCAAAACCTTGCATTTGTTTAGGATGGCAATGTGCCAACTAGAAAAGCCACACTTGACCGGGCATGGTGGCTCAAGCCTGTAATCCCAGCACTTTGGGAGGCCAAGGTGGGCGAATCACAAGGTCAGGAGTTGAGACCTGACCCCTTCTGTTGGCGGGGTGGAGGGGGTGGGGGGAGGGCAGTCCAAGGGTGGACCCTGTCTCTACTAAAAATACAAAAATTAGCCTGGTGTGGTGGTGGGCACCTGTAATCCCAGCTACTCGGGAGGCTGAGGCAGGAGAATTGCTTGAACCTGGGAGGAGGAGGCTGCAGTGAGCTGAGATCCCACCACTGCACTCCAGCCTGGGTGACAGAGTGAGACTCCGACTCAGAAAAAAAAAGCCACACTTAACCTCCTTTGCAGCTAAGAGGCAACATACATGGCTGGACAGTGAGATTGTGTTAATGTGGATTATTCCTCCACAAATATGCATTCTTCTCCTCTCCATTGTGAATAGAGTGTAAGTACTTACGCGTTGATGTTGAGCTTAGTAACATGACTTCCTTTGGAATGTTAGTGGAAGGAATAAGCAGAAACCTTTTATTTGCTTGCATAGTTTGGTTTCCTTCTTTTCATGATTCACCATTAGAAGAACCCACCCAGGTAATCACTGCTTGCTCGGATCCCAGCAAATTCTAGATCCCAGAACTAGTGCTCTTAGAGCCAAGGCCAGCCGATCCAAGTCTGGACTACTGCTCAGATGAGCCGAGCCTGAATTTGGGAGTGGTTGTTACAGAGCATTACCCTGGCAATAACTGACTGATGCAGAGATGTAAATAGACATCACTGGTGGAGCCCCCAGGAAAGCTCTTTAACAGAAGACAGACTCAGCTGGCAGGTTTCCCGTCTCCTTGAATGAAGACAGGCTCAATGCTTGGAGGGGTGAGAGGAGGCAGCCATCTTACAACCACAGGTCACAGGAAGACACTAAACAAGGCCGTGTGGAAAGACAGAAGGAGCCTCCATCCCTCAGCACCACAGAGACATTGTATCAGCCTAGAAATGCCTAAATCTGAACTTCCTCTTACCTAAGAAAAATAAAACCTCAATTTGATTCAATCACTGTTTTACAGGTTTCTGCTACTTCTGATATAATTCCTGATAGATAGCCAGGCACAGTGGCTCACCTTATAATCCCAGCACTTTGGGAGGCTGAGGCAGTCAGATTACCTTAGGTCATTATTTCGAGACCAGCCTGGACAACATGTTGAAACCTTGTCTCTATTAAAAATACAAAAGTTAGCTGGGCATGGTGGCAGGAGCCTGTAATCCCAGCTGCTCAGGAGACTGAGGCACGAGAATCACTTGAACCCGGGAGGCGGAGGTTGCAGTGAGCCGAGATCACATCACTGCACTCCAGCCTGGGTGACAGAGTGAGACTCTGTCTCAAAAAAAAAAAAAAAAAAATTCCTGATAGACACAGCTAACTATTGGTATTAACGCCACAACTGGCCAGGCATGGTGGCTTACACCTGTAATCCCAGCACTTTGGGAGCCCAAGGTGGGCAGATCACCTGGAGTCAGGAGTTCAAGACCAGCCTGGCCAAAATGATGAAACCCTGTCTCTACTAAAAATATAAAAAATAAAAAATAGCCAGGTGTAGTGATGGGCACCTGTAATCCCAGCTACTCAGGAGGCTGAGGCAGGAGAATCACTTGAACCTACGAGTCGGAGGTTGCAGTGAGCCAAGATCACCCCATTGCACTCCAGCCTGGGTGACAAGAGTGAAACTCCATCTCAAAAAATAATAATAAAATAAAGCCACACCCGTGTTTGAGATCCCCCAGGAAAAGCATGAAGGGTCACAAGCAGGTCTCATGGAATCCTGGGGAATGTGACTTAAGAATGCTGGAGAAGAAGCCCAGAGAAGTGATTGAGAAGCAGGGAGAGTAGATGGAGAACCCAGATGTGTGGTGGCCACAGGCCACAAGAGGAGAGTATCTCAACAAGAGACAGGGACAGACCAGGCCAAATGCAGCAGTGAGATTCAGGCACATGAGGAAGAAAACTTTTCAAAGGATTTAGTAAATGAGAGGTCCCTGACCTTGGCAGGAAAGGTTTAGTTCAGGGCTGGGGACAGAAGCCAAACCACACAGCCCTTTGCAGAATCCCAGCCCTCTGCAGCTCCCTCCGTGGGGGATGGACGCTTGAGGAAGGATGATGCAATGGGAGGAAACCACTGCTTGGCCAGCTGCAACCTTGTCCTCACTGCACAGACCATTTCTCCTCTTTGCCTCCAAGATGAAATCTAAACTCAGCTTGGCATCCAACCCTTGAAGATGTGGACCCAGCCAGGCTGTGGCCTCCCCTGCCCAGCCTCCCTTCTCCATATTGTAGGATCCCCCCTCCCCCCATTCCTGGCCTCCATGTCCACCCTTGGACTGCCCTCCCCTGCTCCACAGACTATCTGGAGCCTACTCAGCCTTCTGAGGTGGCACAAATGTCACCCCCTCTAATGAAGACAAGGTCACTCCTTTATCTGGGCTCCTTGCACCTCTCTGTATCTGCCTTGAATTATATTGGCCAGATTCAAGTGGGATTTGCTCCCCAGGGTGGGGACAGTGTCTGTGTTTTCCGTTCCCCACAGGGCAGAGCACACCGGTCTGGCATGAGCAGGAGCCAGTAGCCTTGTTGGGTGGCTATGGTGTGCCCTGCAAGAGTTTCCCAGGCCAGGGATACCAAGTGGGCATCTTCAGGGCCATGTCTATCTCCTTCCACTCCTACAGACCTGGCTTTAGAGAGCTCAGGAAGGAAGCAGAACAATCAACAGAGACACGTGAGGGCTTTCTTCTTCCCCTCTCCTCTCTGGAGGCTTCCCAGAGGGCAGCTGCTTCCTTTCTCTCTTGTTTTAGAACAAGAAGACATGATTGTGACCAAATTTAGAAAACAACCAAAAATTCAAATTCAACCCATATTTTAAAATCCATTTCAACAGCTCCACCCCACTAAAAGGAATGTCACTTCTGAGCAACGTGGGTGAGGAATCAGCAGCCGAAGTAGCAGCAAGGTGGGCTGTGGTGTCATGGATTTGGGGTCTGAGGGCTGGGGAGGGAAGAGGTCTTCCCACCAAGGACAGACAAACCCACCCCACCCGCAAATGGGAGGGATGATGAGGGAGAGCAGAGCCAGGCATGAGAGCAGATGGGCCCACATTCAAGGAAGTATCTTCTTGGCTTCTTGTTTCTGCCAATAGCTGGAAAGGATGGATGCTTCTGGAAGCCACCTCAGAGACCAACCACAGCGGATGGGCCCTCCTTAGCACAGAGCTACTTTTAGCCCATTGTTCTACTGTGGGGAACAGAGGGAAACCCAGGGAACGAAACAAACAGTGTCACCTGCCTTCTGTAGTAATAGTAACCAGGTATGGGATGTGTCGTGTGTGCCAGGTGCTATAGCTAGGAGGCTTTTTAAAAATATTGTTTCCAGGAATTCTACATGAGTCATGTTGCCTCAGAGATTTTTATGAGGGAAAAAAAGGTCTTTATGAGCCAGAATGAAAGAGATTAATTTGTCAGGAACAAATGTAAAAGTTTGCTTTGCAAGCATGGCATTCAAGGGGCAGTTCTGATAAAGCATCAGGAATGCTGCTGTGTCCTCTGGCCACCATAATAGAGATAAAGGGTCCAGAATAAAGGAGGCTCTCATCTCACTGAACTTGGTTCCCGTCAGCCTAAATGGGACCCATTCTCTTTGAGTCTCAGTTTCTTTTAAAACTTGGAGCTAGAAAATGCCTCCTTCATGAGGTTGTTGTGAAGATTAAACAAGGAATGTATGAGAATTAGTTAGCACTGTACCTTACAAGTAGTGCACACTTAGTAAATGGTAATAATCAGAAGTGCTGTTATAAACCTTGGCATTTAAATGGGGTTGAGGTTTTTTCCCAGAGGTAGGAAGAATCTGGGGACAGATGTTGACTTCATGCATCTGAACTTTTGTTAGGAAGGAGACTAATTCTGCCTTTTTCCAAGCAACAGAACTATGCTCACTGGGCAAAAGTTATTATCCAGCCAATTTCAGCCAAATGAAAGGAAGTGTGATCACGAAAAAAGACTGGAAGGACGTAATTCCAAATGGTGCTGTCTTTGGGTAGTGAGAACTTAAGTGGTTTCTTTACATTCTTGTGTAGTTTCCAGATTTTCAGCAGTAATCTTATATTTTTAAATAATCTGGGAAAATTAAAGTGTTAAAGAAAAAGAAGAATTTCACACACATCAGGAATGCTGTTATAGGAATGGGAAACCAAGCTGGATTTGAGATTCTACCAAATGTGAATCTAGTTTCCGAGCATCAGAAAACTGAAATCCATTCCCAACAGAGACAATGCAGCTGGAGAGGATCATGCTCCCGTCTCTTGGACCACCTCCACCTGCACCCTCAGAAGACAGAGAGCAGACACCTGACAAAGAACCAACTACTCCAATGGAAAGTGTTGCCGAGAGCCTTGGAAGTCTGTGAGATGGGGAGGAAGTTTTTCACCCCAGCATTAGGGCAAGGATTCCCTCTGGGCAATACAAAAGGATCTTTTCCATCCAAGAAAGCTAATTAGATAGATAGATAGATAGATAGATAGATAGATAGATAGATAGATGCCTGGCCTCATTCTTCAAAGTGTGGCCAATCTCACCAACACAGTGAGATTGGCTTTTAATTAAGAAAACAGCCTTGAGTTGGTTTCTAAAAGGCAGACTCTTAGAGTGAGAGGCAGGGGCAGGTGATGGGACAGACGTTGGAACTGGCAGCAGAAGACGTGGGTTCTGGTCCCAACCTTGGCTACCCTGGCTGTGTGATACCGAATCAGCCCCTTTGCTCTCTAGGCCTCTGGCTTCCCCATCCCTAGTGTCTGGAGGTTGGACAGAATGAATTCTAAGCTGCTATCCAGCTCAAAGTCAGCCGCTTGATGCCACAGGCCCTTGCCATACTTTCTCCCAAGACTCCGAGTCACGGCCCAATGGACCTAAGAAGCCCTTCAGCCGTATTTTTCTCTCCCTGCTTTTAATGAAGCCACATCTGGAGTGTATCTCCTCTGATCCCTGTTTTGTACAGTTCCTCACAGCTGGGTCCCCATAAATCAATTTGTTCTGCAGACAAGTTCCCAGAATTGTCCAGAATCTGACCCAGAAAAGGCAGTTTGATTTCCCTTCAGCTTCTGGTTGCAAAGGTTGTGCACAGAGCCCAGTCCACATCAGGACAAGCTCCCTGAGTCTTCCAAATCCTACTGCCCGCAGGGTTCTGCAGAGTGGCCGAAGTTCATCCTCCCTTCTCCAGGCACAAACTATGAACTAGCCTCTGGGGCCCCTTCCTGTGCTCTCTGAGGGAGCCGTGCCCTCAACTCCACAGTGAAAAGATTGGATAAAATGAACCCTAAACATCCCTGCAGCTCTTGGATTCAATGTTTTCCCAGGGAGATGGACTAATTACAAGAGAAGTGTTGAAAAGTTGATATTCCTGCAGATGGAGAAGGAAGGAGGATTGGGAACCTCCAAGGACCTCTTTGTTCTACCACATGCAGCAAACAGCACAGAACTCAGGGCTTCTGTGAAGAGCAACAGTTCCCAGACACTCTGCTGGCTGAGGCTGATCTGGTTCCCAGGACACTTCTGGGATTGAGCAACCTGGGATCTTTGTCTGGTCAGCATCTTCTCTCCCTCAGGAAGTGGTCCCTGAGCTCTGATTCTGGCTGGTGCCCCAGGCTCCCAGCTTGGCCCCCCTCACCTCCTTCAATCCTCACCACCCCCTCAGAGGTAGTAGCACTGCCCCTATAATACAGAAGAGGATATCGTGGCTCGGAGTGGGTAAGTAACTTGCTCAAAGTCCATGTGACCAAGCAGAATTTATACTCAGGTCTCTCCTACTGCAAATCCTGGCCTGTTTTCAATCGATCATGCCAAACAAAGGCAAACTAAGGTCCCTAATTTTTTCCCTACTAATAAGAGTTTGCACTCAGACTCCGTTTGGGGAAATTTTTAAATATAATTTTTGTCAAAGGAATATATGTATTTAGCTTAAGAAACCTAATCATTCTCAAGGTTTATAATAAAATCAGCAGTCTCCCATTCCCACCTCTCTCCACCCCCAGATCTGGCTCCCAAGAGAGACTCTATTCTCAACTCCTCCAGCTATTTCTTCCAGTGTTTGCCTTCGTATTTTTGTTTGTTTGTTTTGAGACAGAGTCTTGCTCTGTCACCCAGGCTAGAGTGCAGTGGCGTGATCTTGGCTCACTGCAACCTCCACCTCCCGGGTTCAAGCAATTCTCCTGCCTCAGCCTCCCGAGTAGCTGGGATTACAGGCATCCACCACCATGCCTGGCTAATTTTTGTATTTTTAGTAGAGATGGGGTTTCGCCATGTTGACCAGGCTGGTCTTGAACTCCTGACCTCAGGTAATCCACCTGCCTCGGCCTCCCAAAGTGCTGGGATTACAGCCATGAGCCACCTCACCTGGCCAGTTTTTCTATTTTAGATGATTATTCTTGACTTCCTATTATGGAAAATGAAGGTTTGGGGTCTCACACCATTTCTGGTTTTCTCTCTCTCTCTGTCACACACACACACACACACACAGACACACACACACATGCACGCAGCCAGTCCCCACCCCACAGCCTGCCAATGTTTTACTACCCTCACAGCATTTGGGGGTCAGCCTGAGCTGGCCTGGACCTCTCTGTAAGGATACAGAAGACAGTCTTGATTTTTGGTAAAATGCAGCAGATTTCATGCAAACCTCTGTCTTCACTCACTCCCAGAATCCCAGTGAAAACCACACACCACAATGAAGAAACTAGGGCTGCTTAGCCTGGAGCAGAGTAAGTGTAAGGCCATATCCTCCCTACTTGACTTTCTGAGGGGTGTCCTGGAGCAGAGAGAGCAAACGCACTGGGTGGCCTCAGAGGGATCCCAGAGCAATAAGGGAAGTTGCAGGGAAAGTGATTCCCGCTTCATCAGGAAGCCACCCAAGAACAGAACGGGATGGCTGTGGAGTAAGTGGCAGTGGACAAGCTAGGGTCAGCTGGCTGTGTATTGGGAACGTGGAGGAGGAATTTCTGCATTAGGAAGGAGTTGAGCACATGACTTCTAAAGTCCCTTCAAGGTCTATAACCCAGTAATTTGCTTGTTAAAATAACCGTTGGTGGCCAGGCACGGTGGCTTATGCCTGTAATCCCAGCACTTTGGGAGGCCAAGGCAGGCAGATCACCTGAGGTCAGGAGTTCAAGACCAGCCTGGCCAACGTGTTGAAACCCCGTCTCTACTAAAAATGCAAAAATTAGCTAGGCATGGTGGCAGGTGCCTATAATCCCAGCTAGTCAGGAGGCTGTGGCAGGAGAATTGCTTGAACCCAGGAGATGGAGATTTCAGTCAGCCGAGATTGTGCCACTGCACTCCAGCCTGGGTAACAGAGCGAGATTCCATCTCATAAATAAATAAATGAAAAATAACTGTTGGCAATTAGAATCCAGTGGTGCTTTGCAATCACGCTTGAGTTAATAACTCAAGCCACCCAACAGACACACCCATTCTGGCAATTTCTTTATAGGATACTGAAATAACTGTCTTAAGATTCTCATGAGCAATCTGTTCCACTGACCCTTACCTCGTAAAAGAAAGTTCAAGATGATTCAGAAAGGAATCATGACATGGCGATTGAGACAGAACTCTCTATCCCCTGGGTATTAAGCACACTGAAGATGGGTAAGGGCTGGATGAAGCAATCGCAGTCAATTTGGCCACTGCCTGTAGGCCTCTCTGACTGAGCAGCAAGAACCTCAGAGAGGGAAACTGAAGACATACCTCCCACCCGCATCCTGTTTGAAAGAGAAAGAGGGCAGAGTGTGACATGGGCAAGGATGGAATTCCACCCGGACAGCTGCATGTGGAGGAGCAGGTCTGGTCCACAGGCAACTCTGAACTTGGAGCCCTGTCCCTAGTTCTTCTCCTTGACTTGACACTTTGGAAAGAAATGTGCTTGCCCAGAGATATCAATCAGCTATAAACTCCTGCACTCTCCAAGCAGGACAGACTCTCATTAACCGTCAGGCTGTAACTGGCAGTGTTGTGTACATGGATTAAGAGTGATCAGGGAATATGAGCTGCGTGACTTGGGCAGGCCCTCTCCTCCCCTCCCAGAGAGAGGAAGACAGAGCTGTTTGAGCTCTGGAGCAAGACTAAGTGCAAATCCCAGCCCTGCCGCTTATTATCTGTGCAAACTTAGACCAGTTCCTTACCCTCTCTGAGTCTCAATGTCCTTACCTTTTAAAGCAGGGGTGGTGGGCGGGAGGTGGAATGTTTTTAATTTTGAGAATTAAATTAGCTCATTTATATGAAGTGCTTAGAAAAGTGCTGAACACATAGTATCATTATTATTATTATTATTATTATTATTATTATTATTATTATTATCAGCAGCTGCAAACAGAAGGTAGCAACCTTCAGCTAACTGACTTCATAAGATCAAATAAAATGTTTGTTTTAAAAAAAAAAACCTTGGAAGTTGTGTATAGGTGTGAGAAATTTGGTGTGTAGTGTATTAAACCTCACAAACATTAGGAGACTGTAAGAGGCCAGTATTTCCAACTTCACTAATTAAATAAATATTGTGGCTATGATACACCAAGCTGCGTGGCAAAGTCTCTAGAACTTTTTGTTAAGATAGGAAATTAATTTGACTTTAAAATGTATACAATGTAATATAGCAAAGCCAATTTTTGAAGCTACAATTTTTAAAAAGAAGGAGAGAGTACCACTTTAACACTTTAAGAAAAGTGACACACCCAGGCCACATTTAGAACACTGACTGCTAAGTGGAATGATGGGAATTGGTCCCTGACTTGCTGCGTGATATCCAGCAAACCTCTTCCCTCCCTGGCTTCAGTTCCCCATCGGCTACATCTGGCACTAGATGATCTCTGGGAGCCTTCCAAGTCTGCCATCCCGGGATCTCTGACTTGGAGAATTTTTAGACCAATAGACTTGGTCTCCAGGAAAGCACTGTCATGTTTCCTGAGCTGACAACACCATCTAGTGTGTGTGTGCAAGGAAGACATGACTGCCTGGCTAACCAGGCGCTTTCTCCTCTCCGTCTCATTCTCACATATATGTTGCTACTCAAAATGTGGTCCACAGACCAGCAGCAATTGCATTATGTAAGAGCTTAGGGGACATGCAGAATCTCAGACCCCATCCTAGACCTACTGAACCTGAATCTATCTGCCTTTTTTTGTTTTTAATTTTGAGATGGAGTCTCGCTCTGTCTCCCAGGCTGGAGTGCAATGGCTTGATCTTGGCTCACTGCAACATCCGCCTCCTGGGTTCAAGTGATTCTCCTGCCTCAGCCTCCCGAGTAGTTTGGAATTACAGGCATGTGCCACCACATCTGGCTAATTTTGTATTTTTAGTAGAGATGGGGTTTCACCATGTTGGTCAGGCTGATCTCGAACTCCTGACCTCAAGTGATCCATTTGCCTCGGCCTACCAAAGAGCTGGGATTACAGGCGTGAGCCACCACGCCTGGCCTGAATCTGCCTTTTAACAAGATGCCAGGGGATTCCCACTATGCACATGAAAGTGTGAAAAGCGCTATTTTAATAGGAGGAGAAAAGGAAAGTAGGTTAGCAAAGGAAATTTAAGTTGAACAGATATTCAACCTATAAAGAAATCCAGAATTGGCCCCTAGAAATAAAACACATCCTTTCCAACTGACATGTAAAGGGCCTGTCACATGACAAAGATTCCATTTCTTGAGAATTTTTGGAAATTTTCAAAACAGAATCTTCTTGAATGGTAAGTAAATATCTGATGACAGCGATGGTTGCTCCTGAGCCCAAGTTTCCAATGCACCTGCATTGTCTACATTGCTATTAACATAATAATCCCACTGATGAGTCTCCATTTCCAGGAATTCAGCATGAACTTGGCCACTCTGAGCGCCTAGAGGCCACACTCAGGTCGAAGGCACGTGGCCCTGTGACAACGTGGCAGCTCACTTCTTCAAAGCCAGCAGCAGACACTCTCAGCAGGTGGCCTCTAGGAGCTGAGGTTCTCAGTCCTACAACCACAAGGAATGAATTTTGCCAAAAAACAGTGAGCTTGCAAGAAGACACCAAGGCTCAGATGAGACACCAGTCCCAGCCAACACCCTGATTTCAGCCTGCAAGATCCAAAGCTGCGATCCCCAGTTGAGCCAAGCAAGCCCTGATTTCTGACCTACAGGAACTGTGAGATAATAAATGGGTATTTTCAGCTGCTGCGTAGCCATAGAAAACTAATACAGATTTCGGTGCCTGGAAGTGAGATGTTGCTGTAACAAATACCTAAAATGGAGAAGGGTGGAGGGATTTTGAGGAGCATGATAAAGCCTGCATCTCCTTGTAGAAATGTGGATGGTTGCTTTGGGAGGCCGAGGCAGGAGGATTGCTGGAAGACAGGAGTTCAAGATCAGCGTGGGCAACAAAGTGAGACTCCGTCTCCACAAAAAATAATTTTTAAAAATTAGCTGGGCATGGTGGTGCATGCCTGTACTCCCACATACTTAGGAAGCTGAGGCAGGAGGATCACTTGAGCCCAGAAATTCGAGGCTGCAGTGAGTTATAATTGCACCACTGCACTCCAACCTGGGCGACAGACTGATATTCACAATATGGCAATAAGAGGAAGGAAGTGAGGAACATGTCATTGGAAACTGGAGGAAAGGGATCTTTGCTGGATAGTGGCAGAAACCTTAACAAAATTGTTTCCTGCAATGCTCGACATCACTAATCATCAGGGAAATGCAAATTTAAACCACGATGAGCTATCATCTCACCCCAGTTAGAATGGCTATTATCAAAATGACAAAGAAATTAACAAATGCTTGCAAGGATGCAGAGAAAGAGGAATGCTTGTACACTGTTGGTGGGAATGTAAAGTAGTACAACCATTATGGAAAACATCATGGAGGTGCCTCAAAAGTCTAAAAATAGAACTACCACATGATCCAGCAATCCCACTGCTGGGTATATATCCAAAAAAAGGAAATCCGAACATCCAAGAAATACCTGCACTCCCATGTTTATTGTAGCATTATTTACAATAGCCAAAATATGGAATCAACCTAAATGTTCATCACTAGATGAATGTATAAAGAAAATGTGGTTTATATATACAATGGAATACTATTCAGCAATAAGAAAGAAGGAAATCCTGTCATTTGCAGCAACACAGAGGTCATTATGTTAAGTGAAATAAGCCAGGCAAAGAAAGGCAAATATCACATGTTCTCAGGCACACGTGGGATCTAAAAAAGTGGGGCCAGTCACAGTGGCTCACACCTGTAATCCCTGCACTTTGGGAGGCCAAGGCAGGTGGATCACCTGAACTCAAGAGTTTGAGACCAGCCTGGTCAACATGGTGAAACCCCATCTCTACTAAAAATACAAAAATTAGCCGGGCATGTTGGCAGGCACCTGTAATCCCAGCTACTTGGGAGGCTGAGGCAGGAGAATCACTTGAACTCAGGAGGCGAGGTTGTAGTGAGCCAGGATCAGGCCACTGCCCTCCAGCCTGGGTGACAGAGGGAGACTCTGTCTCAAAAAACGAACAAACAAACAAACACCACTGGGTGCAGTAACCCACACCTGTAACCAGCACTGTGGGAGGCCAAAGCGGGTGAATCACCTGAGGTCAGGAGTGCAAAACTAGCCTGACCAACATGATGAAACCCCGTCTTTACTAAAAATACAAAAATTAGTTGGGCATGGTGGTGGGTACCTGTAACCTCAGCTACTCGGGAGGCTGAGGCAGGAGAATCTCTTGAACCTGGGAGGCAGTGGTTGCAGTGAACCAAGATCGAGCCATTGCACTCCAGTCTGGGAGACAGAGTGAGACTCTGTCTAAAAAATAATAATAATAAATAAAATAAATAAAAAATTAAAAAATGGATCTCATGGAGGTAGAGAGCAGAGTGAGGATTACCAGAAGCTGAGAAGAATAGGGGGAGGGAGAGTGAAGTGAAGTTGGTTAAGGGGTAAAAAAAAATAGTTAAATGTAAGGAACAGTTTCTAATATTCAACAGTATAGCAAGGAACTTATAGTTAACAATAATTTATTGTGTAATTAAAACTAGCTAGAAAAGAAGACTTGTACTGTTCCCAACACAAAGAAAAGATAAATGTTGAGGTGATACAGATATGCTAATTACCCTGATTTGACCATTACACATTGTATACAGTTATCAAAATATCACACCTACCCCCCAAATATGTACAACTATTACATATCAGTGAAAATAAATATTTTTAAAGATTTAAAAATTGTCTCCTGAAGTTATGTGGAAAGCAGAACTTATAAAAGATGAACCATTTATTTATTTATTATTTATTTTAAGTACAGTGTGTGGAAGTAAGGGATGAGCTTTGTTGTGCAGCAAAAGGAGATTTTCATCCAATGTTGCCAATGCTGCTTGGTTTCTCCTTGATGCTTAGAGTAAAATGTGAGTGAAGCGAGAGAGAGAGAGAGAGAGAGAGAGAGAGAGAGAGGAAAACCATGGCACAAAAATGAACTAGGACTGAATTGTTTAGAAAAAACTCCACCTCTCCAGGTGGCAAAAGGTGCTAAAAGTCAATGGCTGTGGAAAATGTGACATAGAGAAGAGGCTGAGTGTGTGGCTGTACAGCCTTTGGCTAAAACCTCAGAAAGATCAAAAGATCAGAGTACTCAGTCCCACAAGGGGCTCTTTCGAGAGATGAAGGGTGTGTGCACCTCACATATCTTCTCGACTCAGTCAGGGACAGCTAGGGAGCTCAAGGCCATTATTCCTCAGCCATCTTAGCAGGAGGCCAACATCGAAAAGGAATTAGTTTGCAAAGATCTGCGGATGTGGCTTCTGTCTGGTGGAATGAAAACCACTGAAATCCATGCAAGACCCACAGAGTTCTTGAGAAAATTGTCCAAGTAGAAATGCTGCCAGCTTGCGCTAAAAAAGTCAGGAAGCAGGCTGATAAAACTACTGAGCTGCAAATATGTGCTATCTCTTATAAAAAAGGAAGAGTGATGAGAGGGTGGAACCATGCCCAGAGGAAGGAGCTAAGAGCCCCTGAGATTATTCCTAGGTCTTGCAAGCTAATCAAAAATAGTCAAATATTTGCCTGGCTGGATTTCCAAACCGTGATAGACTCAGCAGACTCATGATGCCTTTTGACTTTGCATTCCCCACTTTTTGACCCAGAATGTCTGCAACTGTAATCCTGTGCCTGTCCCACCACTGTATATTGAGAATGCTGGGGCAGATAACTCTAGTTTCCCAGGACCACAGATGGGGAGGAATTGTGCCCCAGCGGCTGTACCTATTGGCTAACAACCAGAAGCCCATCTGTACCTGGACTTGATTTAGATTTTGAACTTTAAGGCAATGATATTTAGATTAAGATGATAACATTTTAGACTTTGAGCTCATGCTGTAATGAGACTCCAGGGAATCTTAGGAGGGTGTAAATGTATGTTGCATGTGGAAGGGATGTCAATTGTTGGGGGCCAGAGGGTGGGCTGTGGTAGGCAAGAATTCTAAGAGGACCCCTTGTTGTACATACCCCACATAATCCCCTTCTCCTTGAGTATGAACAGGATCTGTGAGTATGATGGTATAGTACTCCAGTGATGCAATTATGTGGATGTAATTAAGATCCCTAATCAGTTGACTTCTGTGTAAACAGAAGGGAAATTATCCTGAGTGGGCCTAACTTAATCAAGTGGCCCCTTGAAAGAGATAAGAATCAGTAACAAACACTCTCCTACTAGCCTTAAATGAGCAAATGTCATGTGGAGAGGGCCTCATAGCAGGGAATGGGAAATGGTCTTTTAGACCATTGGTCCATCCTATCACCCCAAGGAAGTGATTTCTGCCAACACCCAGTGAGCCTAGAAGAGGACCCTGAGTCCAAGATAAGATCACAGCCCTAGATGACACCTCAATTGGTGAGACTCTAAGCAGAGAATCCAACTAAGCCATGGCCAGACTTTGGACCTACAGACACTATGAAATAATATACTTGTTTTAATCTGCAAAGTTACAAAGGCTTCAAATTGGCCATTACAAATATAGTCAAAGAATTAAAGAAAACTATATTCAACAATTAAACTATATTCAAACAATTAAAGGAAAATGTACCAACAATGAGTCAATATATAGGGAACCTCAACAGAGAAACAAACACTATAATAAAGAACCAAATGGATATTGAGTTGAAAACTACAATAACTGAAATGAAAAGGTGATGAGATAGGCTTAACAGCAGGTTTGAGATGGCGGAAGAAATAAGTGAACTTAAAGATAGATAAAGACTGGTCCCAGTGGTTCATGCCAGTAATCCCAGCACTTTGGAATGCAGAGTTGGGAGGATCACTTGAGGCCAGACTTTCAAGACCAGCCTGAGCAACATAGCAAGACCCTAAAAAAAATACAAAAAAATTAGCTGGGGGTGGTGTGTGCCTGTAGTTCCATCTGCTTGGGGGCTGAGGCAGGAGAATTGCTTGAGCCCAGGAGGCGTTCAAGTCTGCAGTGAGCTATGATTGCACCACTGTACTCTAGTCTGGGTGACAGAGTAAGACCTTGACTCTAAAAACAAACAAACAAACAACAAACAAACAAAACCAGCAGAAGTCCAATTTGAAGAACACAGAAAGGGGTAGAAAAAAAATTAAAGAAATAATGGCTAAAACCTTCCCAAATTAATAAAAAACATTAAATTACATTCCAAAAAGTTCAACAAACCCCAAGTATGAAAAACACAAGCAGACCACACCTAGACACATCATAATCAAACTGCTGAAATATAAAGACAAAGAGAAAATCTTGGAAGGCAGCAAGAGAAACATGAATTATCACACAGAAGTAACAATATCAACAAACACCTTCCCATTCAAAACAGGGAGATCCTACAGCAGTCCAATCACACATTCCAGGGTTGAAAGGAAAAATAAAGAACCTGTCAACTAGAGTTCTAGATCCAACTAAACTCTTTCAATAATGGAAGGCAGAATAAATATATTCCTGGATAAACAAAAACTGAATTTGTTGCAAACTGACCTCTCCTAGATAAACTACTAAAGTTCTTATGCTCAAAGAAAATGGCACCAAATGGTTACTCAGATTCACAGGAAGTAATGTAGAACATGGGAAATGGTACATATGTCTGTAAATATAACAGACTCTGTGTGTGTGAGTGTGTGTGTGCATATATATATATATATATATATATATAATCTTCTTTTACTGTTGAAAGCAGTAATTATACCCTTCTCTTATTGAGTATATAATATATATAGTATATATGTCCATAATAGCACAGAGGAGGGGCTAGGAAGTAGAGCTGCATTGGTGTAAATTTGCCAAATTTTACTGGAATTAACTCCATGCTAAACTGATGAAAATTGTGATGAATTCAGGAAGCACACTGGAATCCCTAAGGCAACCGCTAAAAAAGTAACTAAGAAATATAGCTAAGAAATCAACAGAGGACATATTTATCCTCATTATGCAGATAAGAAAATGAGTCTGTAGTGAATTCTTATAATTTTATGTTGCCTCAGCATCTGTTTTGAATATAAATTGGAATTTTTCATACCAGAAGCAGGACTTAGTCACCCTTGAGACACAATTTCCAGTTCTCCACCTCTTCCCAGTTCCTCAATGTGGTTGATCCAGATATCTGCTTATACAACTGCCTTCTTGTGACTACCTCCCTAGGGGACAGCTAGATACAACCTACTTG
Organism: Homo sapiens; assembly: GCF_000001405.40. Lineage (NCBI taxonomy): Eukaryota > Metazoa > Chordata > Mammalia > Primates > Hominidae > Homo > Homo sapiens. The sequence continues at coordinate 98,854,306 of NC_000009.12, read as the reverse complement.
ACTTGCCCACCGATCCCTACACTTCACATGACCTGTGTAGATATGCACAGCAACCACTTCCCAGTCACCTGTGACCTCCCGGAACTCCTGCCTGCTTGTTCCAAACCCATCAATTAAAACTCCCATTGGGAAAACTGCTTGGTTTCCCTGGATCCCAATAAAGGCTTTGGCCCCGGCTGGGCACAGTGGCTCATGCCTGTAATCCCAGCACTTTGGGAGGCCGAGGCGGGTGGCGTGTCTGAGGTCAGGAGTTTGAGACCAGCCTGACCAGCATGGTGAAACACCCTCTCTACTAAATACAAAAAATTAGCCAGGCATGGTGGTGCCTGCCTGCAATCCCAGACACTTGGGAGGCTGAGGCAGGAGAATCGCTTGAACCCGGGAGGCAGAGGTTGCAGTGAGCCAAGATTGCACCATTGCACTCCAGCCTGGGCAATAAAAAGGCTTTGGCCCAAAGGTCCCTCTCTCTTGCTCCCCATATGCTGGTTGAATGCATATTCTGGACAGCTCTCACCCTCCTATTGGCCCCGTGAGGCCTCCTTCCCCGGCCTCTCTGATCTGTGAGTAACATGCTTTTCTGTTATTTCATGTGGGGTTTTTTTGTTTTTTTTGTTTTGTTTTGTTGTTTGTTTCTTTGAGACAGAGTTTTGCTTATCACCCAGCCTGGAGTGCAATGGTGCGATCTTCGCTCACTGCAACCTCCACTTCCCAGATTCAAGTGATTCTCCTGCCTCAGCCTCCCCAGTAGCTAGGATTACAGGAGCCCACCACCACACCCAGCTAATTTTTGTATTTTTATTAGAGTTGGGGTTTTGCCATGTTGGTCAGGCTGGTCTTGAACTCCTGATGTCAGGTGATCCACTGGCTCAGCCTCCCAAAGTGCTGGGATTACAGGTGTGAGCCATGCCTAGCCTTATTTCATGTGTTTTGCTGAGTTGCCTCTTCTGTGTCTCACCTGACCAACACACCCAAACCTACCTTCTTCCCCCGTCAGGGCTCTCCTGGAGAGGGGCTGTCTTGGTAGGAATAAACTGAGCAGGTCAGACAAGAGCCACAAAGGCATCTTCCAGTATAAACCAAGTTTTCTGTGAGAGGAACACCCTGTCATGGGTTGGACACCCAGGCATTAGGCTGTCTGCCAGGATGAAGTGTCCCATGAAAGACACACTATAAACATTCATGACCAAATCCCTAGAGCCCTGGCAGGGCAGGGCTAGAGTTTTTACCCATGCTCTTGAGACAGACCTCAAGACCAAATTAGAGGAAACTACAACAGAGTCCTAGAAGGCGAAACAATCTGCCAATCTGCCACAGCTGGGGCTGGCCCCCAGGACTCCAACTCCACACATCAGCCCTGGATTCACACCTGCCAGGGAGGCAGGTGGGGGCAGGTGGGGGCAGGTGGGAACCCACTCGGGTACAGTGAATAGATGTGTGAATTCCCTCACATCCCTATGGGCTTTTTCTCAGGCTCTTCACCCATCGGTGAAGAGAACGTTTTCTCGAGATGTTGTAAATTCCCTCCCAGTCTGTGTAAAGATTTCCCTTGACACCCCCCAAAATATGATTTCTATTTTATATTGACTGTTTTCGAGCCTAAAAATGACCGAATGTAAGCGGATGCAGGAGTTAGAGGGGCGACTTCTCAAGCAAAACTAATTAGCTGCCATGCTCGGCAGACTCTCCAGACATGCAACCTCTGCAGCCTCCCTGCACTCTTGATGGATTTTGTCAGCATTAATTTTATGTCTGCCTGAACTGTCTCCCTGCATCTGGGAGGGCCCAACACCCCTTCATCAAGCTCACACTGATGTGACAGAAACGGTGGGGAGGGGAGACAGGGTAGGACTTCCTAACTCATGGGTTGAGGGGGGGCATTGCGTCTGTTTTCACAAGTTCCCACAGCGGTAGGAAGGGAAGCTTGGCCCACACTGCCTCACATTTATGAGAACTGAGCTGTGTCGAAAGCTATTCCTGCCTGCTAAAGAGCTGTTTAATCCCATAAAGATTTTAAAAAGCTAAACTACTTAATATTTATTTTTGAATAAATATTAAAGTACATTTCTGAAAATAGAAGCTGATATTTAATAAGCCCATACTGTGGGCCAGTGTCAGGGGTGTTCAAACCACAGTAACTCCATCTTGAACAGGGGCTGGGTAAAATGAGGCTGAGACCTGCTGGGCTGCATTCCCAGGAGGTTAGGCATTCTTAGTCACAGGATGAGATAGAAGGTCAGCAGAAGATACACGTCACAAAGAACCCGCTGATAAGACAGGATGCAGTAAAGAAGCCAGCCAAAACCCACCAAAACCAAGATGGGATGAAAGCAACCTCTGGTGGTCCTCACTGCTTATTATACATTAATTATAATGCATTCACCTGCTAAAGACACTCCCCCCAGCACCATGACAGTTTACAAGTGCCATGGCAATGCTAAGAAGTTACTCTATATGGTCTATGAGAAGGAGCCCTCAGTTCTGGGAAGTCCTCGCCCCTTTCTCAGAAAACTCATGAATCATCCACTCCTTGTTTAGCATATAATCAAGAAATAACTACAGAAATAGCCCACCAGTAGTCCTCGGGGGTACTCTGGACCCCCAAGAATGGAATAGCCATTCTTGTTTCTTTACTTCTCTAATAAACTTGCTTTCACTTTACTCTTTGGACTCACCCTGAATTCTTTCTTGTGCGTAATCCAAGATCCAGATCCCTTTCTGGTAACACCAGGGCCTAAGCCCTGACCTGCTATGTGTTATTTAATCCTCACAGCTATCCCATATCTTGGTTTAATTATCCCTGTTTTTCCAATGAAGAAACTGAAGTACAGATAAGTTAAGTTGCATCAGATGGATTCGAGCCAGCCCAAGCCAAGTTGTTTCTGGGTAAATGTTAAACTGGTCCTTGACAGGATCTGAGTGGAGAATGTATGTCAAAAAGAGCCTGAGACACAAATTGATACCTTTTAATCAATTCCACGTGTATCTTCATCGCTCCCATCTGATTGGTCCTGTAAACCAAAAACTATCTGAGACAGGTCTCAATCCATTCAGAGGTTTATTTTGCCAAGGTTAAGGATCATGGCCTGTGACACAACCTCAGGAGGTCCTGAGAATATGTGCCCAAGGTGGTTGGTTACAGCTTGATTTTACACATCTTAGGGAAACAGAAGTTACAGGCAGACATAACTTGGTTTGGCCTGGAAAGGCGGGACATCTTAAAGAAGGGGGCGGGGGGCGGGGCTTCCAGGTCACACGCGAATGCGAAGATTTCCTGATTGGCAATTGGTTGAAAGAGTTAAGCTCTGCCTGAAGAGTCCAAGTCAGCTGAACTAAGTAAGGGGTGGGGTGGGGTGGGGTGGGGTGGGGGGGATGGTGGGTGGAAGCCAAGGTTCTTATGTAGATGAAGCTCCAGGTAGCAGGCTTCAGAGAAAATAGATGTGAAGGTCTCTTATCAGACCTTAAAAAGTGTCAGACTCTCCTGAAAAGACCTAGTTAGGGAAGGAGATTCTCTACAGAATGTAAATTTCCCCCGCAAGAGACAGCTTTGCAGGGCCATTTCAGAATATGTTAAAGAAATATATTTTGTGGCAAAATACTTGGATTTCCTTCAGGGTCATAGGATGTTATACCAGTCAGGTTGGAATTTGGTATGTGTTGCTACAAAGAGTCTGTTTGGTCCATCTTAAGAGATCTGTTTTAACGTGAATGCCAGTCAGTTGTCTTTAAACTCCAAAGGGAGGAGAGGGTAATGAGGCTTGTCTGGATACTGCTCCCTTCTCATCATGGCCTGAACTAGTTTTTCAGTTCTGAACTAGGTTCAGGTTTTTTTGGGATCTTCTTGGCCAAGAGAGGAGTCCATTCAATCAGATGGGGGACCCCAGAATTTTATTTTTTATTTTTTGAGGCAAAGTCTGGCTCTGTCGCCCAGGCTGGAGTAGAGTGGCGCGATCTTGGCTCACTGCAACCTCCGCCTCCTGGGTTCAGGAGACTCTTCTGCCTCAGCCTCCGGAGTAGCTGGGATTACAGGCGCATGCCACCACGTCCAGCTAATTTTTGTATTTTTAATAGAGACGGGGTTTCGCCATGTTGACCAGGCTGGTCTCGAACTCCTGACCTCAAGTGATCTGCCCTCCTTGCCCTCCCAAAGTGCTAGGAGTATAGGCGTGAGCCACCGCACCCGGCCCTAGAATTTTATTTTTGGTTTACAGTACAAAAAGATCTGCAGTCAGTGTTCTCACATCTTTTTAATCATTCATATTGACTTAATCAGGTTGACAAAATCTCAGGGTTGGTCTGGGATCATTCACAAATCAGAATTACTCAGAGAAATTTTCACAGCAGTTGCAGCAGCACAAACTCTAACGCTGATTTAAATTAATAACTGTTATTAATGAACAAACTTGAAAAAGGAATTTCATATAGAACATTACATTTCTCCCTGACACTACCGTATCATAAAAATTAAAAATGATATAAACATGTTTTAAAGTCATAGTGGTAGAACCAGCCACACTACAGTGCGGCATTGTTAGAAGTTCGCTCTCAAGTTGACTCAGCTTAGTAAAGCAAATTGTTCTCTGAGATTTCAGCTTTGGTTAGTCCTCTTTGGCTGACATGAACATTATGGAGTGTTAACTGTGGTAGCAACACATAACCAAAAAGCATTCTTTTTAAAATACATCTAGAAGATCTCAATGACCTGAATAAATCAATACAATGTTCCTAGTGACAGTCTCTCTATACTGGGAAAACTTTAACCCCGCAGCTGAGGTATTATCAGTTAATGCAAAGTACGTTGCTTGAACCTGATTTCCACCCATGCAGATATCTTCGTACCTGGGAATTCTTGTAAATACCAAAATAAAATCTTTATCTTTTTTGCTAATGAGAGTAAAAGGCACGACTGTAAAATATACATCTTGATAGAAAAATATTATAAGGTTTTAATTTTCTAAATACCAAGGGTTAACATCTTACGATTACCCTTTGAAAATAGGGTATTTTGGAACATTTAAAAAGTTCTCAAAATAAGTACAAAGCTTATTCACATTTTTACTAAATCCAACACAACTTTCACAAATGGCAAAATGATTGCCTCTTCAAAGCAATGCAGCCTAGTTTTTGGTGGGTTCTGGTCACTGCTTAGCTAAGTCTTTGTTGGGCAGAGTCCTGGCTCCACAGTCTCCTTCGATGGGCTCCTTGATACACGAGGCTTCATAACATGCGCTCTTTGAAGAACCATTTCTGATGATCCGAGTTGGTGCAGTCTCGTAAGAGTGGAACGAAACTGTCACTCGACTCCTTCCTCGCAGCCTGGACACATTTCTTGGACTGTTCGTGAAATAAAGATCCATCCTACAAAAGATAACAGAATGACAGGCAAGTCATCAGAAAAGTCTCTTTTTCCTAAAGACATGTTTTAAAGAGATCAGGGTCTGATTTTTACCATTTCAGAAATATTTATTGAGGGGTAAGTGTCTTCCGTGTAACGCAGCAACTCAGGACTGTCCCGGGGACACAGCACCAGGCTTGTACAGGCTGCGTCCCGCTTGCCTCTCACAGGACCGATGGTGCCACCTGCTGGCTGCTCTGGGCATGTGTCATACCCTACATCTCCCTATTGCATTTGGCTTCCTTCAGGGAAATCAGGAACAAAGATCCTTTGTTTATCTCTTTCACTCCTCTTAGGTCAACTCATTCCGTGCAGGGTGATCTCTTTCTCTTAGGTATTTAAACAGAGTGTGGAAACTTGGCTGTAGTCCCAGCTCAGCCACAGACCAGATGGATGAGGAAGCCAGTCACTTGGCCTGAGCTACTCACCTGTCACACATCAGAGAATCAGTGGGTTATATGCCTTGTGCCAATTCCCAAACCCCAAAGACGATGGTCTTCTTTAATGACCTCCTGCTTCTCTCCTTTCTGCCAGCCCTTGCTCAATTATCTCAGCAAGTCTCTCTCTCAGGCCTGGTGTTTATCTTTTCCCTCTGCCTCTCTGTTATAAGCTGTATGCAACGAACTTAATCATGGCTGAGCAGCAAACAGGCAGAGTGAATAACAACATCAGTGAAAAACCTTTGTGATGTGCTGTTCACTAAATGGAACTTTTTTCATTCAAAAAAATCCAAACTCATGTTTTGTAGAATCCAAGAAATGACATTTCAGAGGTTTTTAGGCCTACATAAGAAAATACAAGGCTGGGCACAGTAGCTCACGCCTGTAATCGCAGCACTTTGAGAGGCTGAGGCAGGTGGATCACTTGAGGCCAAAGAGCTCAAGACCAGCCTGGCCAACATGGCAAAACTCCATCTCTACTAAAAATACAAAAAATTAGCTGGGCGTGGTGGCGGGCGCCTGTAGTCCCAGCTACTCAGGAGACTGAGACAGGAGAATCGCTTGAACCCAGGAGGCAGAGGTTGCAGTGAGCTGAGATTGCACCCCTGCACTCCAGCCTTGGTGGAGCAAGGCTCCGTCTCAAAAAAAAAAAAAAAAAAAAAAGATCCAGCCCTAAGAACTAAGCTTTCTATTATGGTCTAGTGAATATAAGTGGGGACATTTCCTTCAGAATTCACATATGTTTCTGTTCAATATATATTTGTTTTATATATATATATTTAGGGCATGACTGATGAAATATAATAAATCAAGCTGTATCCTTTTCACATATGAATCAAAGTATTAAGCGTCCTGAAGAAAGGTAAAAAATCCAATTCAGTATCCTTCTTCCCAGCCTCCTGAACAAACTTCCTTTTCCTTAAATGGTCACTGAAATTTAAGATAAAATTTTTGATATGTCAAACTGATTTTATTGTTTCTAGTGTCCACTACCATTCCTTGAGGGCTTACAATGGCTTCTGGTTGGGAGAAAGATGGGAAGAGGAGGACATTCAAGAAGATCAGAGACGTCTGGGGTGTGCAGAAGTATTTTTCCTTCTTATTTTCCTGTATTCAATAGGTAACACCATGGTGTGTGGCTTTTCTGGGCAGCCTGCAAATGTCATTGCTAGTGACAACATTTTTCTGCAGGAAAACATATTCCAGCTTTTAATCATCTTTAGAATAAACCCATTTATAAGCAGTATATTGGGAGTGAAAGCTGCCCAGGGAGATAAAAAACAATGAATTTTTTTCTTTCAAATGATTTTCTTTGGATTTATTCCCTCACATGCTTTTTAGTGAGTCAAAGGATATGATCGATTTACAAGTCCTGATGCAAGCTGACTGCAAGTGTGGTGGGGCCAGCACCCTCAGGTCTGAGGTAACCCTCAGTTTCAAATCAACTGTGACTATCCAGGGAGACTACTCTATCAGAGGTGTTTTCTTGGTTATAATACCACAAGCAACAACTAATCTCTATCGAGCTTTATAGTTTCCAAAGAATATTTCTGGCTATGCATCTAATCCTCAGTAAAGTAAGTCTGCTATTATTGCACCTTTTTTTTTTTTTTTTTTTGAGACGGAGTCTCGCTCTGTCTCCCAGGCTACAGTGCAGTGGCATGATTTCGGCTGACTGCAACCTCCGCCTTCCGGTTCAAGTGATTCTCCTGCTTCAGCCTCCCAAGTAGATGGGACTACAGGGGCATGCCACCACACCTGGCTATTTTTTTTTTTAAGTAGAGATGGGGTTTTGCCATATTGGCCAGGCTGGTCTCGAACTCCTGGCTTCGGATGATCCACCTGCCTTGGCCTCCCAAAGTGCTGGGATTACAGGCGTCAGCCACTGTGCCTGGCCTATTGTACCTATTTTAAAGCTGGGAAAAACAAGGCTTAGAGAGGTGGGGTGGCTTATATCTGGATCTAACACTTTGGCTAACATCCTTACACTTGGGCTATTTGGCTTACTCATTTAAAGCCCTTTCATCTCTGAATGCATTTGTAAGAGCTGTTTCCATGTCGGTGCCTGCAGCTCATGGGGGTGCAAGGGAAATGGAAAAGACTAAAAGGGACTGGACAATGAGGAAGGAAGGCAGTGCTAATGACACCGTGTGCCAGGGGACTCCAATCTCCTGCCATCACCGCCCCCCAGGCTCACTGGGACTGAGGTTCCAGGTCTTCCAGAGCTCCTGTCCATGCATGGCCACATCCCTGATCCTCACCAGGACTATGCCAGAGAGAACGTCTGACTCTCACACTCTCCCTTATAGCCCAGGGACTGTCAGCAGGAAGGAAGGAGAGAGTTCACCTACCTCCTGCAAGATGAACTTCTGATTCTCTGGGGCAGTTTCTTCGCAGAGATGCATGATAAGGGTATCCATTCCTGCTTCCACAGCAATGCAGCCCTCAGGCTGGTGGGTGTTATAGCGTATTTCTTTCTGGGACGTGTACTCGAAAAACTAAAAATGGGGCAGCCAACATGTAACACAACATTTTCCACTGATGTGGGAAGAGGAAAGATCGCTGGACAAGAACCTGGGATCACGAGAGCATGGGTGGGGTCATGCACCTGCGTCACCACCAACACGAGCCTGTGTGATGGGTTCCTCCGCATCCCACAGCCCTCAGTGAACCGCTACTGCAGTGCTTCATGAGCGTGGAGGAAATGGCCCTTCCCATGCCTGCCCAGCTTGCTAGACAGGGAGACAGGGCTGGTGCATGTCACCTCCTGCCTGCAGTGCTGAATGCTGTGTTGGTGTGGGATGGGAGGAAGGGAAATGGACCCATCGCAGCACTAGCTCTTGGGGGCTCTCTGTGACCTTGACTAGCTACTTCCTCTCCTTTTCCTCAGTCTCTCCTCCCAAACCCCCAATATGACAGTTCCTAGAAGATGTAAAGTGCTGTGCACAAGCAGACAATGTGACCGCTAACGGGAAGACTTGGTTCTTCCCGGACAATGGTTTTCCTACCTGAGTGTACTAGGAACTACCTACAGTGACTGTTAAAAATGCTGATTGCTGGCCCCATCCCAGAGACGGAATAAGGATTCCTTATGTGTGAGGTGGGGCCTAGGAAGCTGCATTTTCTGCATCTTTGACAAGACACCCACCCACCCCACCAGCCCCTTTCAAAAATTCTGACACAGGTGGGTGTTCTTAAGGCGCACAGAGCAGGGCTTGTCACACCATTATCTCCTGAAAAGCTGCTTAAAACAAGAGTCTGGGATTCGGTAGTGTTGGGATCAGTCTGAAAATGTGCATTTCCAAGCTCCCAGATGATGCTGATGGTAGCACTCAGGTACCATCAGCTTTGAGGAAGGCTGTTCTAAACAGTGTTGAAAACCTAAATAATTTAAGGTTGCAGGGGTTGGAATTAAGAAAGTTTACTCTTGACCATAAGAAGGCCTCATATTCAAGTGGCATTGGGGTGAATCCAGATTGGAAAAAACAACATCTGAATCTCTATCCCTTTGTTTCCTGGTGTCTGATAACTCCTTGGTACGGTGAAGCTTCAGAGGCCCAGAACCAACACTTCTCTCCATTCCTGCATCCTCCAAGGGTCCTGTCAACTGCTTTCCAGGGCTGGGGGTCCTTTTCTGGTCTTCAGACTCCCCCAGGACTGAATCTCCCCTGCCCAGCCTGAATTACAGCCCTTCACCCAGACAGATACACCTGGCCCCCAGCTGAGGCAATGTCCCTAAACACCACCTTGCAAGGTGGCCCTATGCATTAAACCTGTCATTCCACTTAACAATTAATTCTAAGGAAATCATCTGAAATGCAGATCTGTTACTTTATCCTTCCTTCTGTCTGACCCAAGGTGTTAGAGGCAGGGTTATTTATAATTGCAAAGACAGGGAGGCAGGGAACCAGTTAACGAAACAGTAATACAGGTACAAAATGAAATATCAAGTGGCCACTAGGAATGATATTCTCAAGGGGTATCTAATAACATAAGAAAAGTAGATGAAGGGAATGGAAATAATGGAATATAAAACATACAGACATTATGACAACTATTTACAACACATAATCTCTGTGTGTTATGTGTAAAAAATGATGGGAAGAAAACACATTTTAATTTTAACAGTGGTCTCTCTGAGTCTGGCCACCCTAGGCTTCTACTTTTTATATTTCCCAAATATTACTTTTACAAGAAAAAAATTCAACTATTTAATTTTTTTAACAAAACACACAGCTTTCTCCTCTTTTGAGGCTCATACCTACCTGATTCTGGCCCATCCCATGACAGAGGTACAGAATGACCTGGTGTCCCACAATCTGGTTTTCATCGGGAGGGTTATAGTCAAAGCAGTAGTCTGTTAGTCCTTTGTTCTGGAGCTAAATAAAACATAAATGTGGCATTTCAGTCCAGATTTATAGACACTAACAGATGCCACACAAGGCTTGGGGAGGGTACCTGGCATGAGAGGAGAGCCTGCTTCAAGAGCTAGACGCAAAGGTAAGAGTCTTTTCTGTACAGCACCTTCTAGCTTTAAAAGTGCTTCCTTGTTCTGCAGGCAAGAATCCTTACCCCTATTTTAAGTTGATAAGCCTGAGGACCAGAGAGATAAACTCTTCATGGCCTGAAAGCTCCTCTCTCTTTCTTTCTCATTAGTAGCAGCCTTACTGCTGTGCAAGTCCAAATATACCTGGGTTGATACCTCGAACTAGATTAATTAAGCTAACTAAATCAAGCAGGCGATAGACACAAAGAAAGAATTATTTTAGGCTGGGTTCAGTGGCTCATGCCTGTGATCCCAGCACTTTGGGAGACGGAGGCAGGTGGATCACTTGAGGCCAGGAGTTCTAGACCAGCCTGGCCAACACGGCAAAACCGCATCTCTACTAAAAATACAAAACTTAGCCAGGTGTGGTGGGGTGCACCTGTAGTACCAGCTACTTGGGAGACTGAGGCGGGAGAATCACTTGAACCCAGAAGACGGAGGTTGCAGTGAGCTGAGATCATGCCACTGCACTCCAGCCTGGGCAATAAGGCAAGACTCTGTCCTCCCCACCACCAAAAAAAAAAAAAGAATTAATTTAAATCACTTTAGAGCATGGTATGTTTGAAAATACCACCTATGAAATATATTCTATAAACAAACTGAGCTGCAAAGAAATTATAAACCTCATTCAGTATAATACTCTAAGCTGTAGTACTGTATTAATTATCTTGAAACTATTTTCAATATATTTTAGGATAAAGAAAATAAGTAATTATGTTAATATTGTTTAAAACCAAGATTTTCAGGGTAAGAAAAAAGAAATATGAGTATGCTATCAAAGAAAATTTTTCAAGACTACATTGGATTTTCAGATATTAATATAAGCTCATGATCTGTTTCTCAAAAATACGAATTTCCTTTCTCTGCCCAATGAGAAAAATTTAGAGCTGTGCTATTTCATGTGGCGGCCACTGGCCACTGTGGCTACTGGACACTTGAAATGTAACTAATCCAAATTGAGATATGCTATAAGTATAAAATTCACACCAGATTTCAAGGCTTAGTATGAAAAAAGAATGTAAAATGCCTCAATGAATAAATACTTATATTAATTATATGTTGAAATGATATTATTTGGGATATACTGAGTTAAACATTTCATTAACTTTACTTTTTTTTTAATATGGTTACTAAAAAAATTTAAGTTACAACGGTGGCTCTCATTATATTTCTGTTAAACTGCATGGTCTGGAGGCAATGACAACGCATAGCAACGGGCACCGCCAGCATCCAGACTGACTCCCAATACCGTTACCCAACAAAGGAGCAGGGCTTCTGGGAGGAATGGCAGGAAATGTTTAAAACTCGAATGGGACAACTTGGCCAGAATCAAGGAGGCTATCAACGCCACTGTAAGGTGTCAAAGACCTCAGAAGCCAAAATAAAGGGACTCCCACTGGCCAAAAACAATTTTCATATATTTTTTAAAAAGATGAATTGGGCTGGGCACAGTGGCTCATACCTGTAATCCCAGCACTTTGGGAGGCCTTGGCAGGAGAAATGCTTGAGCTCAGGAGTTCAAGACCAGCCTGGGCAACATAGCGAGACCTTAGTCTTTACTAAAAATAAAAATAAAAAATTAGCCAGGTGTGGTGGTGCTCACCTGTAGTCCCAGCTACTTAAGAAGCTGAGGTGGGAGGATCACTTGAGCCCAGTGATCCAGGCTACAGTGAGCTACAATGGTGCCACTGTGCTCCAGCCTGGGTGACAGAATAGAAGCCTGTCTCAAAAAACAATACAAAGAAGAAAAGATGAATTGATTGAAGCACACCGGCTATTTAAACACCCATTAGTTTACAATGACACTCAAGAAGAGAAAAAGCCAAAAAAAACAATGAGCCACAACAAAAAAAAAAACAACCCAGTAGATACAACTGGAGGAAACTAAAATACCAACTCTTACTCTGAAAATAAGCAAATAAAGAAAAGACTTAAGAATTTGTTATGCCTTGGCCGGGCATGGTGGCTCATGCCTGTAATCCCAATAGTTTGGGAGGCTGAGGCAGGCAGATCACCTGAGGTCAGTAGTTCAAGACCAGCCTGGCCAACATAGTGAAACCCCGTCTCTGCTAAAAATACAAAAAAAAAAAATTAGCCAGGCATGGTGGCAGGTGCCTATAATCCCAGCTACTCGGGAGGCTGAGGCAGGAGAATTGCTTGAACCCATGAGGCAGAGGTTGCAGTGAGCTGAGAGCGCGCCATTGCACTCCAGCCTGGGGGACAAGAGCAAGACTTTTCTCTCAAAAAAAAAAAAAAGAATTTGTCGTGCCTTTTCTGTATGAATTCTAAAACTCACATATACCAAATTGCTTTAGTTAATGAGGGAGTGTTCTTCTTTATGAAAAATTTCAGCTAATAAATGTGGAAGAAATGAAAGAGAAAAATCACCATTTGGCAACTCCATTTGAAATAATGGGCCTAGGCAATGGTTATCAGTGGCTACTAAAAACATGAGACAGAGGCTGATGGGGGTCTTATAATGACTGGTCCAGGTGAGGGATACTCCATTAACCCACTGGTCAACCTTATCACTAAAGATGACCATACTTCCTATGCTCCTGATATGACACAACATGAACACATAACATCACCCACAAAGTGTTCTTGCCAAAAAGGTGGATCCTGACTCTAATCAAACCTTTAGAACTCACTTCTATCTTAAAGAAATATGGGGGAGAGAGGCACAACTTGAAGACACCACAAAGAAAAAAATAGCAATTGCAAGAGTGAGACACTCCACAGGTAACATATTGTTTTTTCAACAAGTTAAAGATATTAACAAGAAAAAGGAAGAGGGCTGCCTTAGATTAAAAGAGATTTAGGAGACAAGACACAACCATCACATGCAATGTGTGCACCTTGTTTGGATCCCAATTCGAATTAGCCAGCCACTCAAAGAGAAACTGGAAAAGTTGGGGGAATATGTATTAGAACTAGACATTAAATGATACCAAGAAATACTTGTTCATTTCTACGGTTTTGTAAGATAATGTCCAAATGTTATGAAAATGCATAAAATGCAGAGGAGAGAAATGACACAATGCCCGGGATTTGCTTAAAAAGAGGAAAATGTGGAGGTGAAGTACAGGAGAGAGAAAGAGATAAAGAGAGGCAGGATCTTGAAAATTCTAGAATCTCAGGGATGGTATTCATTATACCATTCTCATACCATTCTCTCTGCATTTCTATATGTTTGAATATTTTCATAATGAAAATAGAATGTAACATGAATATCCTGCTTTATATGTATCAAAGACTTCTAGAATGGAACACCAGCACTTCTGATCAACACATCACAGCAGAGGAGACCTTGCTAAGCTGGTGTCATTCCCAGCAAAAACAAAAGACACTGGACATTTTATCTGGTCTCATCCCAAAAACATTTTTTAGGTTTTTTGAAATACTCGAAGTGACTCCCCTATACCCACTATTGCCTCTGTAGACTTCCAAACTTGGAATTATTAACTAGTCCAGCCATTGAGACTAGAAGTAATATGATAAGGCGTTGGTAAAAACTAGGACATGGAAACACCAGATAAGCCTCAGTTTCCTTACCTACAAAATAGTTGTCAATTTTGAGATGGCTTCCAGCTCTGACATTCTGCACCTACGGCCCAGACGCTCACAGGGAGAAAGAAGGGCAGTGGATAAAAAGGTGGTGGGGGGTGGGCAGGCGGGTGGGAGTGGAGGAAGCCAGTGCTCCCCATGACGTGGCCTTTCTTGCCCAGGATTTGCAGAGCAGACCCAGAGGCCAGGGAAGTCCCTGCCTGCCGTGGGCCCACCACCCTCACTCACCATCCCGAAGAAGCCAGGCCTGTCCTCAGGCACATGCAGTTCTGGATACACAGTCTCCAAGAACCACTTGAAGTCTTTACACTGGAGCTTGTCCCGGAGCTGCTTCCTCTCTGTCACATCCCCAAAAGGTTCCTGAGAAAACAACAAAACAGTGAGACCCCATGGGTCCTAGTGCTTCCTTTCAAAGCCCCTGTGTTCACTGATGCTCACTTACTAACCACCAGCCAGCTTTGATGGAGCATTCGTCGCATGCCAGGCCCTGTGTGGAGCACAGAGGATAGAAAACATCCTTGCACCTAATTCTAGCTTCTAGTATGAGAGGCTGTCACACAGACAATTCCATTCCTAGGTGCTCTGTTGGCAGGGGGGTGTGACCAGGTGCACAAGGGTAGAGGACAACCCGCCTGCTGATGGAGTGAAGGAGCCAAGCCCTGGGGCTGCACTGGCATCTATGGATCCCGGACCTGTGACCCATGCTTGTGATCAGAAGTCATCCTGAAACCCAACCAGGGAAATGTCAGTTTCACCGAAACATATGCCATGACTTTCTGGTTTACTACTAATATCTGAATATCCACTTTCAAACACAGGTAAATATTCTAGATGTAATCATGTTCTCAGTATGAAATAAGCAAAAAGAAATACTTATGCAAGTTTGGTTTTATGGGCAAAACTAATGACTGAGAGCTTTTGAATAATTAAATACAGCAAGCCTCTATTTAGTATCGCAAATGTGCAGCCACAAGAAAAATGCTGAGTGCAGAAATATTACCGTACCTGCACTGTCATGTTAAACAATTAAAAGCTGACAAGTTAAATATTGAACAAAATGGTAATAATAAGTACATGTTTGAATAAGATTTCAGATTTCTGCTATTTCCCAGAGTTCTTTCACTGGTGAAAGTCACTGCGCCCCCAGCTTCAGCCAAGTATCCATTTAGCACTTGGCCTTGGACATGAAGCCTAAGGGTGCATTCAGTGCCCCCCTAAAATATTCTCTGGGAACCCTCAGGAAAAGGGAACTATGGGTTCCAGACTGTGCATGAGGAAAGAGTGGGTGTTTCTACTCTATGGTGCTGGGCAAGACGGAGGAGGCAGAAGCAAATGACCATGGAGCCCAGAGCCAGAGAGGGGCTGAGTGGGAGTCCAGCTGAGAACCCATGGGCTCTGCAGAGCAGAGCAAGAGGTGCGCTGCAGAGTACAGGCCCCAAGCCCAGTTCTACCTCCTATCAGCCACAGGGCCTGGACAAGTTCCTTCCAACAGCGTCTCTCTGAGCTTCAGTTTTCTCATCTATAAAATGAGAATTTTATTGCTACCCTGCAGGGTTGCTGGAAGGACTCAGAAGAGACTTCCATGAAGTGGCCTGATGAGAAGCCTTAGAGCAAGACCTTCTTGTATTGCCAAGCAGCCCTACTAGTTATGCAAATGCAGGGCAAGCAGGCACCCTGCCATGGAGCATGCAGAGCTGGCTGGGGCAGAGGCAGTGGACTGTGTTTCATCTGAAGCCCAAGACCTGGGAAAGAAGAGGCAGATCCCTCATCCACAATGGTCCCGGAGGTAGAGGCAGAGCAAGGATCCGGACCAGAAAACAAGTCCCTGAGATAAATCGCTATGAGGAAGGACACAGTCTGGGCTGAACCTCAGCCTCCGACAGACTCAGTGCAGTGGGTGGATGGGCCAGTGTCCCTGTAGTGTGTGGCTGAGACCCAGGGGAGCAAGCCAACTGAGCTGAGACTTCAGTGACTGCAGGCACACCTTCACCATTGGTCAGAGAGATGGGCCCAGCAAGGCCTCTGAGTGGGGAGGAAGATAGACATCTGTTAGGCTGGCGGTGGGGGGGTTTCCATGACCATGACATATGGTGAGAAAGAGTAGCAGCGGGGGCCTGGGCCACTCTCCAGTAGTCCTTCCATCTGGAAATGGAAGCAGAACAGACTCCCTGTTTTAGAAAAGGAAGCTTCCAGGGTGCTAACAAGAAGGCTCTAGAGGGAGGTAACAGACCCCTAACTAATAAGGCGGATGTGTCCCTGAGCAATAGCTTTAAGGTAAAGAACTGTGCCTTAACTTGTACCCTGTGTTTGTGGACTCACCCTACTGGCTACAAAGAGGAAAACCAAAACACATGGACAATGCCTGGCCTGTGACACCAGGTATCCCCAACTATCTATGTTGGTACAGTCCATCCTCATTATTTACTGGTTCTGTATCTGAATTTCCCTACATGCTATAATAAAATTGATTTGTAACCTCCAAATCAATACTTGTGGTGTTTTCTAATTTTCACACACATTCATGGACAAAAAATTTGAGTTGCCCAACACTTAACTCCCATTTCCAGGTGATATATAACAAGGGCACACACCGCCTTCTTGTTTCAGCTCTCATCCTGTAAACCAGTGTTCTTTTCACCATCTGTTGGGCACCACATTTTTTCCTGCTTTGTATTGGTGACTGCACCAGCTATTCTAGAATGTCCCCCAGTCGTAGTGCTGAAGTGCTACCTAGTGTTCCTAAATGCAAGAAGGTTGTGATGAAGAGAAAATAACACGTGCTAGGTAAGCTTCATTCTGGCATGAGTTACCGTGCTGTTAGCCATGAGTGCAATGTTAATGATGCAACGATATATGTTAAACAGGTGTCTTTGAACAGAAACACATAGAAAACAAGGTTCTGTATTGATCTGCTGACAAAACTGTGCCCCAAGTCTGGCAGGAACCTAACCCTGTATTTCCCCTAAGAACAATGGCTCTGTTTTCATGAATTCAGCATTTGTGGTGGCTTTATGCACTATAACAGCTGTAAATAAGAAGATTTGACTGCATATAATTATTATAAATGGAGGAATAAATTCTCCCCTTACTCGTATCTGAGCACCCAATTTATTCTCTATTTCTGGAACCAGATCGACTATGTTGGGGAAGCCACGATTAGCTGCTGTTGTTCAGATGAAGCCAGATGGAGTGCAGGTGGGCCGAGGAACTCACCAAGCGGGCACGGGGGTTGCGATGGTAGTAGAGCTCTTTAAATTCATCCATCCATACTTCAGCTGCACGAACACTGTTGGCCAGAGCCTTGTTGCGGGAGTAGGGAGCTTGCTTGGGGAAAACATGGCCAACATGGGAACATGGGTGTGTTTCCAGAACCCCACCACACTGCCAGATCTGCACACAGAGAAAAGGAGAGGCCAGGTGGTGAGCAGGGGATGAGCTGCGGGTCCATAGTATCTGCAGCAAAGAGGCCAGGCACACGCAAGGCATGATGGACACTGCCAAGATGCTCAGCCTCCATCGGGCAGGAGGCCACCTACCCGGCACACTCATGACACAGAATGTGGGTAAAGAGCAAGAAAGCAGCCCCCAAAACATATAAGCTGTGGGAACCAAGACCCCAAAGTCCATGCACTAAAGCTCATGCACTTGACTCACAGGAGCATCCACAGAGACCTCGCTGGCAACCCACTTACTCATTACAGAAAACACAGGCTTGATTACCTGATCTCCTAGCCACAGAAGATAGGAAAGCAGCAAGGAAGAAAAGAGGTTTGGAAGGGGGAAAGGAAGAGCGTCTAGAAACAGGTAGAGCAGCCTGACACCTAAGGAAGAGGCAGAGAGACCATTAAAAGCACACCCAAAGACTCAACAGGCGAAGGCATCTGAGCCCATCTCACACTGGGACTGACAGCCTTGAATATCTCATTTTCCCAAAGATGGGACAACCAAGCACAGCATCTGGTACTTATTACAGAGGGCGTGAGTCCTCGGTAGAAGGCCAAATTCTTGTTTATTCAGTTTTTATGAGGGCAGAACACCATATAAAATATTATTAAAAATCTTAATTTTCCACTGAAAAGCACCAACATTTACACAAAGTTTTGATGCTTAAAATGTAAGACTTCATTAACTGGAAAATCTACTGAAATGCTAGGAGTTTTCCAATACGGTTTTCACGGGCCATGTAGAGTAGCATCAGTAGGAAGGCTTGTTACAAAAAGCAGAATCTTGGTCCCACCCTAAAGCTATCAAATCTAGCTAGAATTCTAGATTGTGCTTGTGAATCTGTCTTTCTAACAAGTTTACCCAGCAATTCTTACATGTGTTGGCTGGGTGCAGTGGCTCACACCTATAATCCCAGCACTTTGGGAGGCCAAGGCGGGTGGATCACCTGAGGTCAGGAGTTTGAGATCAGCCTGGATGACATGGTGAAACCTCGTCTATACTAAAAATACAAAAATTAGCCGGGCATGATGGCACATGCCCATAATCCCAGCTACTCGGGAGGCTGAGGCAGAAGAATCACTTCAACACAGGAGGCGGAGGTTGCAGTGAGCTGAGATCGTGCCACTGCGCTCCAGCCTGGGCGACAGAGCGAGACTCCGTCTCAAAAAAAAAAAAAAGAAATTCTTACATCTGTCAAAGTTTGAAAGGCACTGTGCTAAATAAAGAGGCCACTTCATAAGGAATTAATCAAGTAAAGGCTCCAGAAGACAGGATCAGGAGGAACCTAACCCTGAGCAAGTCACCTCTCTCCTGGTTTCATTTCCTCCTCTCCATAGAGTGAGAGAGAACTATGTGACTCGCAAGGCCCTTGCTGGCCCCAAATCTAGAAAAAGTACACTTTTTAAAAAGCTAAAACAAGAAAGCAAGCATGTTTATAGGATATGCGTGTCATCATCTTTCAGGGTCCACCAGGCTCTTACAGCAAATCCCATCGTTCCCAAAGAGAGAATCAGTTAAGAACATGTCCAAAGAGAAGACTGAAATACTTACCCTAAAGGAAAATTCGAGGTTTTCTCCTCCCCAAACTTCCATTCCTGTATCATAAGACCCCAGATATTCAAAATATTTCTTACTCACAGCAAACAGCCCACCAGCCATTGTTGGAGACCTAAAAAAGTATGATATCCTTATTTCACTGTAGACAGCAGAAAACCATCACAGTTATCCAACTACCTTCCCACCACGAGCCCTTTCATCTGTTCATCTGTCATCTCTAAGCATATCCCGCCTTCACCTCTGTGCCCCACACTAGGCTGGGCCTGGAGGCATAGATGTACCCTACGGTCCCTGCCTTGAGGTGGCTCCCAGGCTTCTCAGCAGGTAAGTACTATGTGTGTGCTAAATATGTTAACTAAGGTCAGCCAGGGCCCTGGGAGAACACTGAGGAGGGCAGGGGCAAAAGGGCAGGACTAGGTTCCCTGGAGGAAGCAAGGTCTGCAGGACAAAGGACAGTTAGCCAAGAAGAAGAAGGGAAATGGAATGGTTCTCCAGCATGAGCAAAGGCTTAAGGGTGGGAGAAATCCAGGGACATTTAGAAGCATAGAGAGCAAGGAGAAGAGAGAAGCAAGAGACCACGTTCCGAGAAGAAGGCAGGCTCCAGGCCATGGTCATCTGAGGAGGTGTGATCTCACAAGGCAGGCACTCACAGATGCCACTCAGAGGCCAGTATGCAGAAGGCCCTAAAGGCAACTCTGGCATCTGAAAGTGCCCCGAGGGCCAGGTCCTCTTGAGTGGTTTCCTCCACTAGGACCCAGCTAGCCAGCCTCAGGCTGCTTTTTCAGCCAGCCTTGTTTCCCGCCACCCACCACCAGGTTTATCTGGAAGCCAGCACTAACCAGAAACGGCCCACGGCTTCCAGCCTACACGGCAGAACACTGTAAGGTCAGCACGTCCCAGAGTTGCACAGGCAAAAGGATGAATTCAGAAATAGGGAAAGGGCTGGGCACGGTGGCTCATACCTGTAATCCCAGCACTTTGGGAGGCTGAGGCGGGCAGATCTCCTGAGGTCAGGAGTTCAAGACCAGCCTGGTTAATATGGCGAAAACCTGTCTCTACTAAAAAAATGCAAAAATTAGCTGGGTGTGGTGGCCCACAGCTATAATCCCAGCTACTCAGGAGGCTGAGGCAGGAGAATCACTTGAATCCAGGAGGCAGAGGTTGCAGAGAGCTGAGATCATGCCACTGCACTCCAGCCTGGGTGACAAAGCGAGACCCCAACTTGAAAAAAAAAATAGGGAAAGAGAACATTGAGAGCGCAACCACTGAAAATGTTAACATCCTGCAGCATCGGGGCCTGCCCTGGACTCCAAGCATGGGGCCAACTGAGAAGACAACAGCAACATCCCCAGTGGAAGGGAAGGTTCTAGACTACAAAGCACCTTCACGTGTGTTTATCCTAAAAATCTAGGAAATAAGCAGGGTGGATATGCTGGTACCTATTATAC
This sequence comes from Homo sapiens, assembly GCF_000001405.40. Classification (NCBI taxonomy): domain Eukaryota; kingdom Metazoa; phylum Chordata; class Mammalia; order Primates; family Hominidae; genus Homo; species Homo sapiens. The sequence continues at coordinate 98,833,912 of NC_000009.12, read as the reverse complement.
AGATGAGATAACTGAGGCACAGGGATATTATGGGATGGGGAGGATAGGTGCCCTGAGCATGTGGGGTAACGGGGCAATTAGAATTCATGGACCCCCATGAATTCATGACAGGCTGCCTAAGTAGCCTAGATTAGAGCCTCCTGCTCTGTGTCTCAGTTTCCAAACCTATTCAGTGAGGGATTGAGCAGGATGTTCTCACTAAGGGCTCCTACAGAAGCCTGGGTGCCATTCTTAATTCCTTCCTTCCCCAATTCCCACTCAATTTCTTCCAATTCTTCCATCTTAACATCTCTGGAATCCACAGTGCCCACCATCTCCTGAACCATTGTTTCTGACCTGGAAGACTGCAGAGCCTCCTAATGGTATCCCTGCCTACAACGGTCCCCCCAGGGCCCTCACCACATGGCACGCAGCACATGCTCAGGTCACTTCCTGCTCCGATCCCTTCAGTGGCTTCTACCTGCTCAGGGTCAAGTCCAAACCCCTTCCCTTGGCCCCGCCCATCTCTCCAGCCTTATCTCTGGACACTCTCCTTGCTTGCTCCACTCCTGCCAGCAGCGGGTCATCTTAAGGTCAGGACTCTGGTGAAAGAATTCAGAAGCCCAACTGCCAAATGTGGACGCAAAACTCAGAGCCTACTTCCGGTTCAACACACCAGCGGTGAGGCTGAAGTCCTGACCTCCTCCTGCCCAACTCCCACATCTGTCTCCCACTTGCTTCTGAACTTGGAAGGGGAGGAAGAAGCCAGGCTATCACTTCAAAACCTCCAGAATGAGAGCTGCTGAGCCTCCCTTGGGCCCATTCTACTCAGAGCTTGACTCACCCACTGGCCAGAGCAGACTCCTCCACCTGCCATGGATCCACCCACACCCCAGGTCAAAGGGGCCTAAAGATGTTTCCTCAAGAATGAGCATATGACCAGCAATCCCACTCCTAGGTGTATACCCAAAAGAATGGAAAACAGGGACTCAAGCAGATAAAAGTACACCGATGTTCATAGCAGCATTATTTAACAATAACCAAAGGACAACCCAAGTGTCCACCAACAGAAGAATGGATAAACAAAATGTAGCATATATGTACAAAGGAATATTACTCAGCCATCACAAGGAATGATGTTCTCTAGGAAACTTGAAAACATGATGATAAGTCAAAGAAGCCAAGTACAAAAGGACAAATATTGTATGATTCCACTCACATGGGGCGCCTGAAAGAACAGAGGTTCCCAGGGGCTGGGAAGGGGAGAATGGGAAGTTATTGCTTAGTGGGGATATTTTCTGTGTGGGATGATGAAAAATTCCTGGAAATAGGTAAAGATCATGTTTGCACAATACCGTGAATGTGCTCGATGCCACTAAAATTGCATGCTTTGTTTTATTTATTTATTTTTTTATAGAGACAGGGTGTCACTCTATCGCCCGGCTGCAGTACAATTGCGTGATCATAGCTCACTAAAGCCTTGAACTCCTTGACTCAAGCGATCCTCCTATCTCAGCCTTCCAGCTAGCTAGGCCTACAGATACACACTAGCATGCTCAGCTAATTTTTATTTTTTTGTAGAGATAGGTTCTTGCTATGTTGCCCAGGCTGGTCTCAAACTCCTGGACTCAAGCAATCCTCCCACCTTGGCTTCCCAAAGTACTGGGATTATAGGCATGAGCCACCATGCTCAGCCTAAAATTGCATACTTCAAAATGGTTAAAATGGTAAATTCTCTATGATGTATATTTTACCACAATTTAAAAATTAAATAAATAAAATATACCGATATAAAATTGACATGTGTAGCAGACACGTTTAATAAAAATAAACAAATACTCTGGGCAAAAAAGTGGGAAGAGGGGAGGTAGTTAAGCTGACAGCTAACCATTCCTCCCGAGGGCCTCCGCTCACAGGTCAGCCAGATTCAATGAGGCATGCTTAAAAAACAAGTCACCCAGAAGTCAGCTCCTGACCTGATGACATCGACGGGGGATTGCATCCGTATCCTCTCCCTCTCAGGAACTGTGTGCCACGTGAACACCAGCCTCCAGTCGAAACCGCCGATCTGGGGCTCCCCGGAGTTCCCCAGGTATTCGAAGGTGTTCCAGTCGATCACATCAATCACCGGGCACACCACTGCCGACTCCTCTTCATGGATCCTGAAAGCACCCAAGACATCCATCCGTCTCTCCTATGCAGACGGGCAGCAGGAAGACAATTGGGAAATTCAAGGGTGAATTCTTGTCTTCCTTCCAATAAGAGGGAGGAACATCTGAGAAAGACCTGCTTCTCTTATTCCAGGTGTCTGCAGCCGTGTCAGAGCCCTGGCAGGTGACCACCATGGGGGAGATCTGGGGGCCACGGAGGGCTTTAAAACAAAAAGTCCCATGACTTTAATATGCTCTGATTCTATCCATGGACATTCTGACCAAACGCTCTATGATTTCAATTTCTCAGAAGTGCAAGAGGTTTAATCACAATGAAACACCTTAACATCAAGAAATACTTATCTCCTAAGAACAAAGGTGCACCCAGACCAAAGGGTCAGCTTTGGAATTAGAATATAAATTCTAATCCTGCTATTTATTTGTTGTGTGACATTAGCCAAGTCACCTAACTTCAGAGCCTATTGCCTCAGTGGTAACACTGGAATTATAATATCCATTCAGAGGGTTAATGTGAGGACTTCCTGGGAAAATGTTTTTAAGATAGCTGGCAGAGAACCTGAAACTATTGCTATTTTTTTATTTTAATGTTTGTTATTGTGAAATATTACATATAGTGAAAAATGCTATAATTTCCTTTTGCAGGTATCAGCCTGTGTGTTGGCTTCAACGGTTCTCTCCACATTATTACAAATCTGGCCATCCCTCAGCATGCTTCCAGGCCGTGTTTCTTTGCATTTGCCACTACACCAGGAAAGATGGACTGAGACTAGACCACGTGTGAACACTAGATTTCCTTGAGTACATTTTGGGGGACGTTGTCTGGAATTTGAGACCTAAAAATCCTAAGAGTCCTGCCACACAGGACAGTGCAACAGAGATCAACCAGACTTGAGCTTTCGGTGTCCTTAGAATGACACCAGAAAGTCAGAGGGGATATTAGAAATACCACTCTGGGGTAAGAATTACAACTATCGGGAAATTGCACTGTTCAGAACAGGTTGCGTGAGACAGGGTCTTAGATCTGTGAGTTCCCCAAATTGAGGAAGTTGCATACTAGGTATCCACCAACATCCGCTTATTTAAAGCAATTGAGGGCATTATTTAAAAGGTTGAAAGGGCCAACATCAGACCTGCTGGGCAAGTTCTAGCTGGCCCCTGGCAAAGGCCAGCTCCCCCAGGAACTGATGGCTTGTGATCAAGCTGGCTGGAACCACAGAAAGCCTAATTTTTACAAGGAGGGGAAAACTAGGGGAATGCTGTACCAGCATTGGAGTATAGGACTCCCAGTCGTGGCTGGAGAATGTGCAGGACCCACAGGGATGCTATTGGCATCTGGGCCAGAACCATTCTCCACTGAACAGGGCTGATCTGCAGGATACTTGGCCTCCCTGATACACAAAATGCCAGGAGCCCTACCTGGTTGACATGACAACCAAGAATACCCTCCCACATTTCCAAAAGCCCCTGGATGGAAAGGGTTACCACTCCTGTCTGGGGCCACCTTAGGGAGAGTCCACAGTCTGATGTGTCCCAATGCTCGTGCACACCAAAGTCCCCTGGGGAGCTTTTGAAACATGCAGAAGCCGAGGCCCCAGCCCCAAGAGTTAGATCCAAATGGGACCAGGCATTGGTGTGTTTAAAAAGCTCCCCAGGTTGAACCCTCACACACCGTTGGTGGGAATGTAAATTAGTACAACCTCTATGGAGAACAGTTTGAAGGTTCCTCAAAAAACTAAAAATAGAGCTACCATATGATCCTGCAATTCTACTCCTACGTACATATCCAAAAGAAAGGAAGTCAGTGTATCGAAAATATATCTGCACTCTCATGTTTGTTGCAGCACTATTCACAATAACCAAGATTGGGAAGCAACCGAAGTGTCCATCAACAGATGAATGGATAAAGGATATGTGGTACATATACTCACAATAGAGTACTATTCATCCGTAAAAAAGAATGAGATGCTGTCATTTGCAACAACATGGATGGAACTGGAGGTCATTACGTTAGGTGAAATAAGCAAGGCACAAAAAGACAAAGTTTGCATGTTTTCACTTATTTGTGGGAGCTAAAACTTAAAACAATTGAACTCATGGAGACAGAGAGCAGAAGGATGGTTACCAGAGACTGGGAAGGGTAGTTGGTTGGGGGAGTGGGGATGGTTAATGGGTACAAAAAAATAGAAAGAATGAATAAGACGTACCAGTTGCTAGCACAACAGAGTGACTATAGTAAAAAAAAAAAATAATTTAATTGTACATTTAAAAATAACTGGCTGGGCGTGGTGGTTCATGCCTGTAATCCCAGCACTTTGGAAGGCTGAGACGGGCAAATCACTTGAGGTCAGGAGTTTTACACCAGCCTGGCCAACATGGTGAAACCCCATCTCTACTAAAAATGCAAAAATTAGCCTGGCATGGTAGTGCATGCCTGTAATCCCAGCTACTCAGGAGGCTGAGCCAGGAGAATCACTTGAACCTGGGAGGCAGAGGCTGCAGTGAGCCGAGATCACCCTACTGTACTCTAGCCTGGGCAACAGAGCGAGACTCTGTCTCAGATAGATAGATAGATAGATAGATAGATAGATAGATAGATAGATAGATAGATAAAAAAAATTACTAAGAGTATGACTGGGCCAGGTGCAGTGGCTCACGCCTGTAATCCCAGCACTTTGGGAGGCTGAGGTGGGTGGATCACTGAGGTTAGGAGTTCGAGACCAGCCTGGCCAACATCGTGAAACTCTGTCCCTACTAAAAATACAAAAACTAGCCAGGTGCGGTGGCACGCACCTGTAGTCCCAGCTACTCAGGAAGCTGAGGCAGGAGAATCACTTGAACTTGGGAGGCGGAGGTTGCAGTGAGCCAAGATCACGCCACTGCCCTCCAGCCTGGGTGACAGAGTGAGACTCTGTCTAAAAAAAAAAGAAAAAAAGAGTATGAGTGGATTATTAGTAACACAAAGATAAATGCTTGAAGGGATGGATATCCCATTTCCTCTGATGTGATTATTATGCATTGCATGCCTGTATCAAAATATCTCATGTACCCCATAAATATATACACCTACTATTTACCCACAACAATTAAAAATTAAAATATAAATTTTTTAAAGTTTCCCAGGTATTTCTAACAGACAACCGAGGTGGAAAATCCCCTCTTCCACAGGCATGCAGCAAGGAGGCGGCTGGCCCATGTCCAAAGGGTGGGATGAAGAGGAATTCTAAAAGCATTAATCCATCAGCTGCAGAGAAAGAAATGTCCTCTCCCCATGATTTCAGACCTGTGTAGAGGTGGCCATCTATGAGTGCAGTGGGGGAACGAAGGAAGGGGAGCCCATTGGTCTGGGTTCCAGAGGGAGCACTCGGCCATAACTGTGCTCTAATCTCCAGCTCCATCACAGGCCAGAGGAGCCTCGAATCTGCTGCTAGGAAAGCTCATCAGAGCTGAGGAGGAGAAAGAGACAGCTATAGAACCTGCAGCTGACAAGAAGCCAGGACAGTAGGAAGTGGCAGGGCAGGGGGCAGCTGGGTCACACCCAGGAAGGAAGGCAAGTGGGTCCCCAGCTCTTTCAGACAACCCTAACAACCATGGAGTTGGCATCTGCGGGGAAGCAGTTCCCCAGCTGCAGAGACCCTGCCCCTCCAGCCCTTTGCCTGCTCCACAGCGGGGAGGCCAAGCAAAGATCCCTTCCTTCCTCTCCCACCTGGGGAGCTTCTGGTTGGCAAGCCCAGCTCCTGACTTCTATGATGCAGAAACAGAAAGGGCAGAGAGACGAGGCAGAGCATGGGGAGGAAAGAGACAGAAGGGAACAAAAAGTGGGCCCCAGTAGATGGTGGCTTCTTGAGGGGGGAAGGTAGGAGGGTGAGAGTGAGATGCCGTGGAACAGCAAGGACAATGGCCTTGAGAACAGGGTTACATTATGACTTTCAGGGACCCTTCCTCTATAACAACCAGACATATTAAAAAGCATATTTTATGACTATACTGGTATAAAGACAAATACAATCCATGCTAGATTCATTATTACATACCCATTATTATGATATTCATTTTTCCCTTCTGATTTTAAAAGAAATTCATAACATTTATCTGGGTTCCTTCCAGTTTCATGGGCCCTAGGCATTGTTCCTCCTGGGTGTAAGGGTTAAGTCAGCCCTGCTTGAAAGAAATACATCAAAATGTGTATTCTTTAGGAGTGCCATTCTATTTGACTGAGGATTTTTTAAAATGTTCTTGGTTGATGATACTTCCTCGGTTTTCTGCAACAAGCCCGGATAAAAAGGAATAATAAGGCCGGTGTGGTGGCTCACGCCTGACGTCAGGAGTTTGAGGTCAGGAGTTTGAGACCAGCCTGACCAAAGCAGTGAAACCCCATCTCTACAAAAAAATATAAAATTAGCCAGGTGTGGTGGTGCATGCCTGTAATCCCAGCTACTCCGGAGGCTGAGGAGGAGTGAGGAGGAGAATCGCTTGATCCCGGGAGGCAGAGGGTGCGGTGAGCCGAGATCACACCATTACACTCCAGCCTGGGCAACAAGAGTGAAACTCTGTCTCAAAAAATAAAAAGAAAAAAGAAGGAATAATAAAAGCAAACAGTGACACAGGGCCTTCTCCAGCTGGCACTCCCAGGCACTTGCCATGCACTAAATCATTTAACGGTCTCAACAGCCGAACTAAGCAGGGACTGCTCTCCTGCCCAGTGACAGAGAAGCAGCTGAGCCCAGGCAACCCGTTAACCCTCAAGTGACGTGATGAGTCTGTTCCTCATGCTACCTACTCCAGGTAACATGCTGTCTCTCCCATGGTGGGCGGCTCACGTACCTCTGCAGCAGCGGCTCCAGCCACCCTTCGTGGCACTCACAGTGACAGTCCAGGAAGGTCAGAACATCGCCCCTCGCCGCAGACGCCCCCAGCAGCCGGGCTCGCACCAGGCCCTCTCTCTTGTTGGCGCGGATCAGGCGCACCTTGGGCAGTCCCGAAAGCTCATTGGCCAAGCGCTCCTTCAGGTGCTCTAGGGAGGCAAACAAAGCAACAGGGGTCACCGTGACAATCTCGGAGGAGCGCCTCATCCCAACCCGGGGCCTTCTGGGCCTCCCTGTCCCAAACAGAAGATGAAATAGACAGGAGCCTCCTTTGCTCTGCCACCTGGG